>NC_000009.12:99432673-99584188 GCF_000001405.40 Homo sapiens | reverse complement strand
ATGAAACCAGTCCCTGGTGCCAAAAAGGTTGGGGACCACTGACTTAAACAATACAATAATATCTTACAGTTATGGAGGTCAGAAGTCCAAAATGGGTTCCACTGGGTTACAGTCCAAGTGCCTGAGGGTGGTATCCTTTCCGAAGGCAGTAAGCCAAATCCATTTCCTTGCCTTTTCTAACTTTCTGGAGGCTGCCTGCATTCTTTGGCTCATGGCTCCTTCCTCCAGTTTCAAAACTAGCAATGATGAGCCAACCCCTCCTCACACTATTGTCTCTCTGGCTCTCTCTTCCACCTCCCTCTTCCATGGATCTGCATGATTACATGGAGCCCACCTGGATTTCCAGTGTTTTTCACATGCCCAGACACAAAACAGGTGCATGGTAAGCATTAGACTGATGATGTGACAGCACATCAGGTAGGAAGGAACACTGGGCTGTGAGTTCTGTTGCTGTGACCTTTGGGCTTGGGCAGGTCACTCAGTTCCATTCCATCCAATTGAGTTGGCATTTGTAGCATCCTGTGACAGGTCAGGCCCTAGGAAACAAGCTGAAGACATAAAGAATTGGGATACAAAATCTCTGCCCTCAAGTAACCTTCAAAATGTACCTCTCTTAAACCTTAGGCTTTCATCTATAAAATAGCAACAATAATTGTATTGATCCTACTGGGTTGTCGTGGAGGTAAGATCCAATTAAGTACATGCAAGCAAATTGTAGAGAGCAATTCAAATGTGGAGATTTCTTACTATTTTAAATGTTTGACAGTTGTTTTCCTGAAAAGATAAGGCAGCTTAGGAAGACGATGCATCTCGATAAACTTTTCCTCCATCTTCTGTAAGTGTAATCCGTGATATGATAACCACATCATTGTCAGAGGACCTCTGCATTTCTTTTTCTAGATGTTTATTGAGAGGTCTGAGTTGTAACTATACCTCTGTCTGTATCTGGAATGATACAATTTCCAAAGCCTGTCTAAAGGATTTCTAGTCCTGTGAACTGGCCAATACGATTTCTTGAATCATCGCCCAGTGCGGACCCAATTTATATTTGGAATTTCATGCCATCTTGAAGGAATATCATCCAGTGCCAGGGTCTTCTCTGAACTAATTGGGCTTTGGCAGTGATGTCATTCTGTGGTGGGCGTTTGTGGAGATTATGGCAGCAACAACTCAAATCTCATTTTCGGCAGTGTGTGCCCATGTGTGCAAAGAGGCTGCTCTCTTCCCTCACGTGCAGTCACTCCTCCTGCTGAAGTTTCACTTCTGGTCCCTTTTTGAAGACAGGAGATCAGTTAGCTATTTATACCCCATGGCTAGAAGCACTCCTTCTTTCCATGCTATGTACAATGATGTTTTCTGTTATTAATGTGGCTTAAAATAAAATTAGGCAAAGACATCATCAAACTTATTGAACTTTTAATAAGTAGGAAGCAGTCATAGAATCGTAGAGGGAAGTACCTTCTAGGGTTAAAATTATAGTCTTTGGAAACAAGCAAACCTGTTCGAATGGCTGTCCAGCCACTCCAGCTGTGTGTTTTGGACAACAGACTTGTCCAAGCCTTGATTTCCTTACCTGTAAAATTAGGGTAATATCTTTTGCCTCCTTGGGTTGTGAATTAAATGTCACCCAGATTTATGGCTGTCTCCTATGTCTGCTGACTTTGCTGACCTCAGATTTTCTTTCTATCTTGCCAAAAAATCTTCATCTCCCAAGAGCATTAGGGAATAAGAAAGAGTTTTCCGGTGATTTCCTAGGGGAGATGGAGAATGTTTTATCACATGTCCTACAGTGGGACTTTCACAATCCCCAATATCCCTCCTGAAAGCTGTCCTCAGCTTCTCTTCTATTATTTATGAACAATTCAGTCCTGCTCCAAACTTCCACACCATTGCACAGCCCATGGTCATGTTGCTGCTCAGCAGTTCAGAAGCCTTGCCATTAAATGGGCATCCACTTGTCTATCAGAAAATTTTTTTTAGCAGTCATCTGATGTTACTTCACTATGATTTTTGGGGTCTCATCTCTCACTTCAAATTCTCTATCAAAATATTGCTTGCAATTGTACTTGCTTTCTTCCCAAGAGGTGTTCCAAGGGGGAATATAAAAACAGCTCCCCCCCATTTTGCTACATTTGTTTTAAATTATACAATACATGCAAAACATTTAGTACAATGCCTGCACCAGCATAGTACATACTCAACAAACAAAGGTTTATTAAAGAAAAAAACAAAGCAAAAGCAATATAGCAAGATACATAGTTTTGCTATATCTGGAACAACCACACTACTTAGGATGGATGTCTTTGTTCCTTAATTATTAACATTCTATTAGAAAAAGTATTAGCATCCCTGAGCTAGAGATGCCCAAGGCACAATAGGCCTCAAGGGTGTGTCATTTGAGGCTCAAACTTCCATCTGAAGACCTGGGCACATCTCTGCACAGACAGTTCAGTAAGCCATCATCTACCTCTAACTTACAAAGATATGGGGTGTAATATAATTTTATTAAGGAAAATAAATAATTGACCACCCTTCTGTCTTCTACAAGCAAGTTCCATTAACTCAACCCCCTACCTCCCACCCCCGAGGCCCCCTGGTCTCTCAGTGTCCCTCAGTGAGTAGTTACTGATATTCTTAGCTAGCTTAGTTGAGAGGTGTCTTTTTCTGAGTCATAGTAAGTCTGTTCAGACTTCCTTCCACCATTGTGTCACTTATCAGCTATTCTGCTGGACTGGTGACTTTTTATCCATTTAACTACAGACAATATATTCTGGGCCAGACACTTAGCCAAAGGCTGGAGAGACAGAGGGAAGAAAACATGCTTCTCAGAAGAACCCACCTTCCAATCACATGGAGAAGTCAGCTGCACAACAAATTGATGAGCTGAGCATTCAAAGTGGGGCAGATGGGAGGGATTTATTTTGCTAAGGGAATAGAGAGCCAATGAAGGTTTCAAGAGCTCAGACATTTAATGTGGGCCCTGGGGGACAAGTAGGGATTTTACTAGGCCACGAAGGAGATGATAGAAACCATTCCAGACTCTTTGGGTGTGCCAGAGGAATCCAAGTTAGAACTCTATGAGGAAAAGGAAACTCAAGGAGACAGAATTTAGGCCTTTTACTCATCATACCTCTCCATCTGGAAACCCAGATCTCTGAACAAAGTATGGAGGGCTTTGTCTTTTCCTTTAATGGGGAAGACCACTCCCTTATAAATGATTCTTTTCCTCCTTGTACAGAGATGTTAAATGCCTTGCCCAAGTTTGCATGCTTAGTAGGTAACAAACAGAACCTAAATCCAGTGCCTATCATAGGGCCTGGCCCCTACCATGTGGTCAGTAATCAATTTTGTTGCATGAATAATGATTGAATAAATTAATAAATGGATGAACAAACTCAGATCTCCTGACTCTTGTATAGTATAATCTCTGCTACTTGGTACTTCTTGTTGTTGTTTGATCATACTACTAGCAATCATTGACTGTTATCACCATACACTGCAGCATTACTCAGACCTTGGTAAATCCCTAAATTCATGAAATCCTCTATAACACATACATTTCTCCCAAATATGAAAATTTTGCACAGGAAAGGAAGTCTATCAAACAGCTTTAAACATTGCTTTCTATTCTTTCTGCCTCCAGTCTCAATTCCTTTCCATTTCTCTTGCCCATGGTTATTAGGGGCTGGGCAGAATCGTACCCTGAACTGCACCCTTAATATGCTTTCCATGTGGCCATTCTATGATCTGCAGGCCAGAGTTGCTTCTCTACTGCAGGGTTAGAGGCTCCAACTTGACTTTTCATCTTTATCTTTCATTTATTTTCACATTAATTTGATAAATATTTATTGAGCACCTCTTAAAAATCAGACCCTGTACTGGATACTGAAGATACAGGCATAAAGAGGACAGCCACACTGTCTTACCTCACGGAGCTCCCTATCTAGTGGAAGAAACAGTGAGAAATGAAAGTTATGCATATGATTGTGTAATGTTCCTTTTGGTAAGTGCTACAAAAGGGAAGTAAAGACACTTCCCTAAGGGGAGTAGGCAATGGCCCAGTAAAGAGTGGGGGAAAGACATTCTTGGCAGAGGGCACAGCATGGGTAAAAGCCCTGCAGTAGGACAGAACTTAGATTTCCCAGGAGATTTAGAATCGCTCACGTGGCTGTAATGCTTGGTTCACCAACAGCCTTCCAGCGGCTTCCTACTGCATTGAGAGCACACTCCAAAGTTCTTACTCAATGAACAGGACCCCACATGGCCCAGAGCCCTACAACAGGTTGGATCTCATTTCCTCACCACCTTTTCGCCAGCCTCGTTTGCTATTCCTCAAAAGTGAGAAACATCGTTCATTTTCCAGGCATCTATATTTTTCTCTCTCTGCCTATGACAGCTTCATACCAGATATCTTCATAGCTCACCCGCCATTCCATTCAGATATGTGCTAAAAGATTACCTCATCAAAGAGCCTTCTCTGATAGCTCTACCTACAAAAGCAACCTTCCCCCCACTCTCTGTCCCATTACTCTGTATGTTGTCCTTCATTGCACTTACCACCACCTGACATATTTTTATTTTATTTGATGAACTACATGTAGCCTTCTGTTACCTTGGAAGGGTCATGAATGAGGGTATCTTGTTGACTGCTGTATCCCTAGCACTCAAAACAGTGCCTGGCCCCTAATAGGCACTCAACAAATATGTATTTACTAACAGTTGAATGGAAAGGTTGATATAAGACCAGTTCAAAGATAAAGCCAGGAGTCATACCCTGTGATGCCATGTAGCCACGTCACCATTTTCAAAACCTCATATCCTTCCTGAATACTCCGTGCACTATCATGCCTCTGGGCTTGTCTCAGATCTTTCTACCTGCCTGCAATGCTCTTCCCATCCCTTTGTATTTCCATCTCTGTCAATGAAAGTCCCATTGGCATAGCCCATTGCTTGAACTTTCACACAGCATGTATTTAATTTCCCTCTGGATACTAGCGAATGGGGTACGTGTTTGACTCCTGTCCCCAGATAGAGAGATCCTAATATAATAGGTGGGATAATGTGGATGCATGCCTGGTTCCTGTCCCAGCACAGAGTTTGACCCCAAGTAGCACTCAGGAAAGTCTTTGTTTAATTGGATTACAGGAAGGCAATAATACAGAAGAGTGAATAATCCAAGTAAGGTCTGGGAGCTGAGTCAAAGTCATGGTTAGATTTGAGGGAACATATAGTTAAGAGCATGAACTAGAGCCTGGTTGCCTAGATTTTGAATCTGGTTCTGTCATTTACTAGTGATTTACTTAACCTCTAAAGGCCTCAGTTTTCACATCTGTAAAATGGGCATAATAATAGTATCTCTCTCATAAGATTATTATGAGGTTTACATGAATTACTACAGGGAAGTATTCGGAACAGTACAAGAAACACAGTAAGTATATAGAAGCATATTGTTTAAAAATATATTTATATAAAATCAAGGATGTCATCTATAGGTAGGAGAACTTAAAGTCCAGGAGAGGCCTGAACTTGGTAGAGCGGCAGTATCTGGAGATGTACTTGGGAACTTGAGCAGAACAACCAGAGGCAAGGAGATCTCGAGAGCCAAAGCTCAATCTAGGCCGGGACTCCAGACATTATTTTGTGGAAGAGGAGACTAAGTCCAGGGGTGGAGAGGAGTTCCATTATGGCAGAGGAGTGCTGACTACTCGAGTCTATGGCTCTCAGTCTAATGCGCCCCTGATAATTTCCTCACAGGTTACCACATAAAGCCAATAATTCATTTCCTTGATGGTGGTTTATTATTTATTTTCTTGTTTTTTTCCTCCTCGTTTCTCAGAACAGTTCAGGTAGCTTATAGGAAACATACATATTACATAAACTATAGATTAAAAACAAAATTAGGACTAGAAAATATATACATTAAAATAAGAGGCCAGAAGGCTGGTGAGGTGGGACAGGAGAGGGCACTGATGACAAACAGAACCCAAGGGTCTGCAGGATTGTTATTTCCATGTGCAAGTTAAGTTCTGAGCTTTCTGATGGCCAGAGTGAAAAGAGACACACGTCAGTTGTATAGAAGAGAAAATCAAAGTGTTTTCCTAGTTCTTTTCCCTAAAAAGTTTCTCATTTGTGCGAGGGTCATCAAAATGATGTTGAAAGCAAAGCTGTTCTTCTTTTCTTTTGAGACAAGGTTTTGCTCTGTCACCCAGGCTGGAGTGCAGTGGCGTGATCTCAGCTCACTGCAACCTCTGCCTCCTGGGCTCAAGCGATCCTCCTCGTCAGCCTCCCTAGTAGCTGGGACTACAGGTGCATTCCACCACACCTGGCTAATTTTTTGTATTTTTTGTAGAGACAGAGTTTTTCCATGTTGCCCAGGTTGGTCTTGAACTCCCGTGCTCAAGGGATCCATCCACCTTGGCCTCCCAAAGTGCTGGGATTACAAGCTTGAGCCACTGAGCCCGGCCAGAACTTTTCTTCTGATGATCTCCATTCTCCTGTCCTTGAGCCATCTTGGCTGATGGGTTATCCAGATTTTTTCCCTGAGGTAGTTATAACTTCTGGATTTGCTTGAAAAATCTTAGATCCTCATTCTGATCTGCTGTAATTATGGGGTTCCCCTGATCAACCAAGAACTACATTTCTGATTCAACCTCTTAGAATTTCATGGTTTTGGAAGCTCTTAAAGGTCATCAAGCCCAACATCCCTATCCCACTCACCTTCTGATGTTTGAATATTCGCTGCAACAACTCCATCAAGTGGCTGTCTAGCTTTTTCTTGCATGCCTTCAGTGACAAGGAACTCACTATCTTCCAAGGCATCTAATTTCATATGTCCATGACGTTGTTTATCTTATTTCATTGACATCTGAATCCTGGTCATACCTATCGAAAGAGGCATTTCATCACCAAGGAAAGAAATCGAGTCAAATTGGCCAGCAGGAAGAAACTCTTTGGGAATCCTTAGCTTCATTAGAAGTAGACTTTTGTTCAAATGAAGTGTTAAAATTAAAGCAGTATATATCTGAGTGGGGCCAATTGGCATTAACTCATCTTAGCATATGGTGTGCTTCCTTTTATATGCATGTTTAGCAGCTAGTGGGTACCAAACCTCACACAGCTCTCAATTGCTAGCACTAATGAAGGATCTGTTTGCCTTTGGGGATAAAGATGGTATCACTGATTCACAGTTGTTTTTCCAGGAGTGAAGAACAGATTTTACTTCCTCATCCATAGTCTCTTGCCTGGCCCTTTCTCGTCCCTACTACCACTACCCTAATTCAGGCCTCATTGTTTCCTGCCAGGACGGTTCACCTGCCTCCAACTGGCCTCCTTGCCTTTGGTTCTGGCCCTGCCTGGTTCGAGATCACATTGCCAGAGGGATCTTCATAAGCACAGATTTGCTGTATCACTTCCAGCTTAAAATCCGTCAGTGACTCCTGTTAGTGCCAGTGTGGAATCCAAACTTCTTAGCATGTAAGAAAGGCAGGGCGGGATCACAGGGTCACTTGGGCCATGAAATGGTACAAAACTAACAGTCCTCATTAGGAACATTTGAGCCCTTAAAGACATGCAAATTCTTCTGGAACAATAGCTCACATTCATGTAACTACAAATTTCTTAGCTTATTCACCGAAAAAGTTAATTTAATCTCCACGTAGAAGAAAAAACAGAGCTCCTCTCAGTACTGCTATTACTAGTGCAACTATTACTAAAAACAATATCAGATACTTTTACAGCACCTAAGCACTTTATATGCAGTACTTTACTTTAATCTTCACAAGAAAGCGATGGCATTTGCACAACCCTGAGTGTGAGCACCTCCTTGAGTTTTGTACCCTGATGGCTCACTCGCTTCACCCTAGTCCCAGCCCTAGAAAGCCCTGGGTGTCAGTGCAACGTGGATCAGGCAGCTGGTGGGGAATCTTAGATGGACAGTCTGGTCTGAGCAGAGCTCCAGCCACGTGGCTGGCAGTAGGATCAGAAGGGCCAGCCCAGAGTTCTGCAGTCAGCAACAAGGAACCAGGAGGCCATCTCCGCTAGGGGCAGCATGGTGGAGAAGACTGCAGGGCTGGGATCAGAGTTCCCATCTGTGTATGCCACAGGTGGGGTCCATATGCAGTTTTCTGGGCCTCAGATTCTTACTCTGCACAATCAAGAGTATTAATGACCCTCTCTGCCTCCTTTCCAGGTTCAGTTTGATGGTGGCCGTGAAGGGGTCTGATGCTCAGTAACTTGAGGTGCCCCTGCAGCATGAGGTGGTGGAGAGGGTATCTGAGTGGGTATGGGATCCTGGGGTCAGGCCCATGTTCACTTGCTCAGGAGCTTGGAGCACAACTTCCCCTTTCTGGGAGAAGGCTTTATATCTCATTAAGATGGATGAAATCTCTCAGCTGGACAAAGGCAGCAGCACATTATGTTCAAAACGAAGAGACTTGGTGTGAGATGGATCCTGAACAGCTCACCTCCCACCATCCCAGCCAGAAGTAGCACGGTCTTCAAATTCCAGCCCATCTCTCTCTTCTTGATGAATACCTCTTCCAGCTCAGTTGCAATGAAATGTCTCCTTCTTCCATATAAACCCAGGGCTGTGCCCAAGCCTGCTTATCCCATTACCCACACTTCCCCCGAGTCTTAAAACATGTCACTTCCTCGAGACTCAGAAGCCCACCTTAGGAAGTATAAGATTCATGTTGATAACTAGCTAGGAGGCTCATTGAAAATATTTTGGGGTTTGCATGTTAGCTCTGTCAAATCAAGTAAAAAATCATTCTTATCTACCATAACCAGCAGTTATGCAAATCTGCCAATGGCACTAATTAAGTGACTTCTAAAAGCATTTATCATAAATAAGGAACAAAAACATTCAGGGGCTTATTTTATTCTCTCCAGCAGCCATAGCCCCATCTGATTAATGCCATATGGGGAGAGTCTATTCTGGAGGGCAGGCTGGAGTTTGGTTCATTGTTGGCAGATATTTCAGTTACGTGTTTGTGCAACACTGTATGCTTACCAGGTAGCAGCTTTGGTGGGATAGGCCACCTTCACACTTACCCATCATCACTTGAGATTTCAAGCCTCAATTTGACCCCATGTGGCAGGAAGAGTATATGCCATGTACAGAAAAACTTTACGTCTGTTACCGTTTATGATCTTCCCAACAGCTCTGTGATGTTCGTTATTATCCCTGCATTGCAGATAAAGAAACCTATACTTCTGTGCTATAAAATAGAGTTGACCAAAATTTTTGCAAAGCCAGAGAGTGAATATTTCTGGCTTTGCACCCTATCATGTAAGGTCTCCATCATGACTGTTCAACTCTGCCATTGTAGTACAAAATCAGAGATGTATGCTGAATAAATGAAAACGCATGGCTGTGTTCAAGTCAAGCTTTATTTATAAAAACAGGTGATGGGCCATAGCTTTCTGACCTCTACTATAAAGCACTGAAATTATTTGGGGGGGGCGGGGGGTGGTGAAGTACCTTTGGTAAATAGAAAGCCTTAATGAGTGGGTTTGCTATGGACTCAATAAATATTATTGAGCATCCACTCTGTGTCTGGCACTGTAAGGAATACACAGGTAAATCAAAGTGCTCATGGGGGTTGTAGAAATATCTATATGAATTCACATCACTATAATGTAAATAAAGCCCAAAGTGCTCAGGGCTATTAGAAGAGGCAGATGAGACCCAGAATTCAGAGCATCTGAGGCATCATGAAGCCTTCCTGGAGGAGATTATGTCTTAGCTGGGCTTTGAAGAACAATGAGGAATGAACAGGAAGCCTTGCACATGAGGCTGCGGGAGCCGTATTTATTGGAAGGTCAGTGTAATAGCATTTCTCCTCATTCTGCTTCACCAACCAGTAGAGGTCAGAGGCTTTTGCCAAGCAAAAGCCCATGTTGGACTGGTGTGGTTGTGAAAAGCTACTGAAGGCCTGAGCTTAGGACAAGGCCTGTGTAAAGAACAGATCCAAATTAGGTCATGCAAGAGCCAGCTGGAATGAGACAGGTGGTTATGGGTGGTAGAAAAAGAGAAATTGGGGCAAAAGATGTCCCACAATACTGAGACATAAGAAGTGGGTAGTCCCAAGACTGTTGCTGTGTGAAACCTTAGGTTGCAAGTCATAGTTCTGTGGCCACAATGCCCAGGCTTTGGTGCCTCAGGCCAGAAGGTTTTCCCCACACCAATTGCAATAACGATGATCTGACTTTGCAGGGTAGTGCGTGTGGTGCTTTGAGATCACAAGGCACCTTCACAACTATTATCTGTTAATCTTCACAACAAATCCTATGAGGTTAGTACTATCACTCCCATTTTACAGGTAGAGAAATTGAAGCTAAGAATAGTGTACTACTGTGCCAAAGAATTTGAAGCTAGGTCTGTGTGACCTCAAAGCCAGTGTTTTTCTCACTATTCAATACTGCCCATAGGATATGTGCCAGGGTTAAAGACAGAAGAATAAGAGAATAAGAAAATATAGGTTAAAACCCTAATCAGGAAGGGCCATGATAGTGGACTTAAGGCTCAAACTAATGCTGTGGGAAGGAGACAAATTCCCACCTGATTGGAAGCCCCGGGTTCCTACAGAATGTGCTTTTCTTCTTGCCCAGTTGGCTAAAGGGCTTGGGAGTGAGTCTGTTCCAGGCTATCTTCTTAAACTCCCAGAGCGTCTCCCTACCCATGTGGCTGACAGCTGGTGGGCTTGGGAATACTTCACGGCTCTTCCCCTTTGCCTCCAGCTTTTACTCTCAGCCTTGTCTCTGGCTTCTAGCTCTTCCCAGCCAGCCCCTTGAGAGTAACTATTTCTTTGGGCACTTTTTCAGGGTTCGACTCTCAGAGCATGCACAGCTAGCCTCAGTGTCTATCACAGAGGACCACATGCCCAGGCCTCATATTCACGGCCAGCCTCCAATGTCTATTTTTAACTTCATCTCCAATTGGGGTTATGCACACTGTCTCAGGGAGGCACTGCCAAGCCTGGGCGAAGACTCTCATCACACGACTGAAAATTGTGTCTCTTTATGGGACTAGAGCCCTGATGGTATAATTGATGAATTGATGCTTAAAAAAGTGGGGGTGGAGGGGCTTCTATGATTGTCTTTGAAGAGTAAACAGACATACAGTGCATTATGCATGTGATTTAAAAGCCATAATTTTAAAAAAGCAAATATTTAAGAGATACCACTGTTTATTTGGCCCTGTTTTTGATTTTTTTTCTCTTCTTATTTAAAATTCTAAAAGCATCAAACATGGAAATGTCCAGGATTTTCTTCATCTCTAAGAAGCCCTGCTGCCCCAGCATCCCAGGTTGCTGGGAACAGGGATGGGACAGAGAATTCTGCCACTTGTCTTCTGTCCAGATCTTGGTTTAACAGAACAGCTCTCTGCTCAGTGTCCCAAGTTAGAACCCCCTCTCCAGTCGGTGCTCTGCCCACACTGCCTCCGCCTTCGTCTGGTCTTCATCTTTCTCTTGGACTGTTATTTAAACATTCTGGAACGTGATCCTTCTGTTACCAGTTTCTTCCCAGCCACTCCATTTTCCACACTGCTCTTAGAGTGATCTCTATAAAAAGCAAATCTAATCATGCCCTTCCTGGCTGAAAACCCTCAGTGCCTTGATTTTACTCCTAGCTTGGTTCCAGTGGGGTCTTCTTGCTGTCATTGCCCAAGGTGACCTCTCTTGCACAGGAACACCCACAGGAGGCAGCACCTATCCAGTCCCAGAGAATAGAGGCTCCTAAGGCCAGTTCTCTCCCTGTGGGTGTTCCCCTCCTCCATGCTGTCCCATCAGCTGTCACCAGACCCATCAGACACAACAGACCCACCAGACACAACAGACAATGGTGCTGTTCTGGGAGGTTCTTTTCCAGATCTAGGAAGGGTCGTACAGCACCAAGATACAAAAGCTGGAGCATGTGCTCATTGTTATTTTATGCCACACAAGAAAAAGTCTTAGACCTAAGGAAAGTATTAGGCACCTGAAGAAGGTGTTTGCCTTTCTGCTGATGGTTCTTTTCTCTACTGAGTCCAGTTGCCCCAAACTATTTCCTCTTCAGTGTGGGCTCCTCACTTCACACCTTTGCCCAAGAGGCAGTTCTGCCCTTGCTCTCTCTCAGCTCTTGCAAACTCTAATGACCAGCTTTAGTGCTTCAGGCATCACAGGGCCCAGAGAGTGAGAGGTGAGGGTTGGCTGTCGTCCTCTGGGTGACTGTGAGTCTGCAGTACTAGTCAGATTACCTCCAGAGAGAGCTGGGATGATTTCTTTATATGATTACCTAAGAGGTGAGTACCCCTCACCAAGGCAAGCAGTGAGTTTTTTTGTCTTTTTTTTTTTTTTTTAAGAGTCAAAGTCTGGCTCTGTTGCCCAGGCTGGCGTGCCATGGTGTGATCACGGCTGTCTGTAGCTTCGAACTCCTGGGCTCAAGTGATCCTCCCACTTCAGCCTCCTGAGTAACTGGGACTACAGATAGGTGCCACCATGCCTGGGTAATTTTTTTAAAGAGATGGGGCCTTGCTATGTTGTCCAGGCTGGTCTTGAAACCTTGACCTCAAGGAATCCTCCCATCTCAGCCTTGTGAGTTGCTGGGATTGTAGGCGTGAGCCATTGCACTGGCTCTGGTCTGTTTTTAAAATGAGTCAGTCTCATCTCAAGTCCTATTGAGGATAGGGCTTTTCCTTCCATTAGCATATTTCGACTATGCCCCTTTGAGGAACCTCATGATTATGGCTGGTTTTTGCTAATAAGCCTGGCTTTGCTTGTAAAGGAAGGACAACATGGCTCAGATCTACACATAATAGAAAGGGGGAATAGAGGGGTTGCTGGTGTACCCAGCAATGCATCCTGAACTCCTGCCACAATGTACCTCTGGCCATGTGTGTGAGTTTCCTGAGGCTGCTGTAACAAATTACCACAAAGTTTCAGTGGCTTAAACAGAGGTTTATTCCCTTTCAGTTTTGGATGCCAGAATTTGAAATCAGGGTCAAGGGGCTATGTTCTCTGTGGAGGCTCTGGGAAAGAATCCTTCCTTGGCTCTTCCAGCGTCTGGTGGCTCCAGGCATTCCTTGGCGTGGCAGCATTGCAGCATCGCTCTAATCTCTGCTTCCTTCTTCATGGGGCCTTTCCTTTTGTGTGTCATTCCCTTCTCTTTTATCTAAAGTCTTCCTCTTTCTTTCTCTTATAGGGATACCTGTCATTGGATGTAGGGCCACTGGCATAGTCCTGGATGAGCTCATTTCAAGTTCCTTAACTTAATTACATCAACAAAGACCCTTTTCCAAAGTAAAGTCACATTCACATATTTCAGGTTTTGGGACATGGATATATCATTGGGGAGGGGGCTGGCATCAGTCAACCCACTATATCATTCCAAGACAAACCAAGTCCTTTGACAACTATGCCTTTGCATAGGTTCTCTTTGATGTCCTTCACTCTCTCCCCACCAGTCCACCATCCTCACATTTCCCTCACTTGGCAAAGTTATTTATCCTTAAAGCATGAGCTAAATGAGCTAAAAAAAAATCACCTTGTGCATAAGCCTTCCCTGACTCCTGGGGGTGCCATCCCGTGTTTCCTGCTCTAGGACCCTGCAGCGGTAATCATTTGCCTGGAAGGCAATGGCCAGCCAGAGTTTGGAAAGCAAAGCCTGTCAGATGAGTGCATAGTGCTGGGCAGGAGAGAGCCAGAGTCTGAGGGAGGGGGCCAAGGGCAGCTGAGGAATTCACTTGAAAGAGAGCCTTGACCCACTGTTCCTAAATCCAGTCAGTGGCTGCTCTGAAAGGGATTAAATGTTCCAGAAGAGGAGTTTGAAGGTTTAGAGGCCATGAGAAAATCTTCCTACCTTTTCTGAATCCCTCCTCTTTTTCATACAAACTCAGAAATTCCTTTGGGAGGAGTAAGGTCTTTCCCTTTCTGACAAAGGTAAGATGAGAGAGACAATTGTCCTCTATGTATATATTAATAGTTCCCATCAGTAGCTTCTCCAGTTGACTGTGAGGGAGGCAGAGGGCAGGAGGACTCTTAAAAGATGGGAGTGGCAAAGGAGTGGGCCACACACACGAAAGATGCCCAGAGTGATGCTCAATGATGGTCAGTCCTGCTTACCCTCAACTCTCAGGGCCAATAAGAAAGAGGCAACTTACTGCTGTAGAATGGACACTGAAAGAGGAAATGTGGGTCTCAAGACTGAGCTTCACTCTAACTTTCCATGACTTCACCTTCTCTGGTCTTTGCTTTCTTTTCTTTGTAAAATGAAATGGTAGATTAGATGAGCTGTAAGGACTCAGTGATTTTAAGAGTAGCTGTCATCAAAGATGACTTCGTTCTTTGGGGATTGACTAGAAAATCTGTACAAGCCTGTCTCACCATGTGAATTTACAATACCGCACCAGAGGAAATCACTACTGTCCACACATGTTTGGGAATCGCTGAAGAATTAACAAACTCTTGATGAATGCAAAGACACTGCCACATACTCTGTGAAAGGCACCTAGGATAGAGGGACAGTCCTGACTCTCAAAGGGCTTATGATCTAATGTAGGGGGCACACACCTTCAAGATTTACTGTAATGCAGGTTAGACATCGATGTATGCTATAATAGAGCGAGGGCAGGGGAATATGGGAGTCCTTCAGGGAGGAGGTGACACTGTAGCTGGGTCTTAAGGGTGAGTAGGAAGCAGGCAGGCAGCAAGGGAGGAAAGCAAGGAGAGACATTCAGGCGGCAGGAAGAGTCTTAATAGAATGCTTGGAGATTTAAAGTGAATGACATCATATGAGTGATGCTAGGAAATGAGCCCAGATAGGCGACTGGGGCTTGACTCAGTTACAATGTTTCATTGCTGTTAACCAAAATGAGTTCAAAGTTGCTTAAACATGAAGAGCATTTAGGAGGTTAGGAAACTGGAAAGGGTAGAGGTAGGGAAAGATTTCAGAATTGGTTTATTTCAGTGGCCTAGTAATCTCCTTGAAGTTTTCTTTCAGTCTTTCTCCTCTGCCTTCAGCAGGGTCAGCATCATTTTAGGCTGGTGGCCCTCCAGCCCAAAGCTGGTTGTAACTAATCCCTCCCAGGGCTATGTTCTTTCTTGGGGACAAGGCTTCAATCCAGGAACAGAGAGTGAAGATGACTTTCGGGAGCTCTCTTGGAAGATTAAGGTAGTTTCTTTCACAGAAATTTCTCATGTAAATGCCTCTTTTATTTTACTAACCAGAGCTAGGTCATATGCTTGTCCCTAAACCTATCATTGTGGCCAGAAGTGGGGAGTATGCTCATTGCCCTGGGCCATGTTGCAAGTACTATCCATGGGTTGAGACTAGAGTCAGCTTCCTCCAAAGCCAGTGGACTGCTAGGCTAACAAAAATCAAGATAGTTACCAAAAGAAGGGGAAAGAGCTCTTGGGAGGTGAGATAGATAATGTAGATTGCAGACTCTTTCTCAGTAAGGGTTCCTCATGTGGCCAAGGACCTACCAACAGGAGGATAAAATGAGCAAAGGGAGATGCCGACTGTGTGGACAGATTGGTCTTCTGACAGAGATGGTGGTGGAGGCATCTGCTTCTTCTGGGGCAACCATGTGGGATTTCTAGGTCCAATTAAGCTGGAACCGTTCCATGGAATGGATGAGGTTTCTCCTGGCAGTGTGGCTCCTGTTTGTGTTGTTTCTGGTCATGGTAACATCCAAGCATGGCTCTTGGGCCCTCCCTTAGGGAGATCTTGTGAGATTCCTAATATCTTTTCATAAGCCCAGTTCTGCTTTCATAAATTAAAGTGAATTCTGTTTTTTGTTTTGTTTTGTTTTGCAATTAAGAACCCTGAAAACTACTGATTTCCTTAATAGTATTAGATGTGGAAAGTCACTTTTATGGTAAGGAATGTGGTTTTTATCTTTTTATATGATGGAGAACCATTGATGGGTTTTAAATGGGAAAGTGGTTGTGATGGGAATCTTATTCCCTTTTTCAACCCACCATTCTACTGACACTGCTCCTGTCAATATCACCAGCGGTTTCATTTGCCAAACTCACTGGTCACTTCTTTTCCCCCTACCCCCCACTCCTTTTTGCTTGAGACAGTCTCACTCTGTTGGCCCAGGCTGGAGTGCAGTGGTGTGATCTCACCTCACTGAAACCTCTTCCTCCTGAGTTCAAGCGATTCTTCCGCCTCAGTCTCCCAAGTAGCTGGGATGACAGGTGCCTACAACCACGCCTGGTTAATTTTTTGTATTTTTAGTAGAGATGGGGTTTCATCATATTGGCCAGGCTTGTCTCAAACTCCTGATCTCAGGTGATCTGCCTGCCCTGGCCTCCCAAAGTGCTGGGATTACAGGCATGAGCCACCGTGCCCAGCCTTCTTCCCCTTTTTAAACTCAACTCTTTAGCAACGTTTGGCACAGTTAATATCTCCCTTGTTGATCACTTTCTTCACCTGGTTCATTAGGTGGCACTGCCCTTATTTTCCTCCCACCTCACCGGCAACTCTTTCCTGTTATCCTTTGCTGGTTCCTCCTCCACTCTAATCATCTGGATCCTGGAATGCCCCATGACTCTTTTCTTCCCCTTTTGCCCTTTCCCCTAAGTGGTCCAGGGCTTTAAGTAGTGGGTATATAAACCAATGACTCATAAATAAGTATCTTTAGCTCAAAACTTCTGTTTACCTCTGGAGTTGTGTATCCAGTCACCTGCTTGACATTTTCCCTTGAGTGTCTAATGGCTACTTTATGTGGGACATATTCAAAGCAAAACACTTGTTTTTCTCCCAACTTAGTTCCCCTCACTGCTCCCACTCAAAATGGTACTACCCACCACTCAGTTGCTGAAGCTAAAACTCAGAGTCATCCTTGATTGTTTTTTCCTAACTCCCAGTCTTAATCCATGTTGTGTTGCTATAAAGAAATACCTGAGGCTGGGTAATTTATAAAGAAAAATGGTTTATTTGGCTCATGATGTCTGGAAAAGTTCAAGATTGGGCATCTGCATCTGGCGAGGGCCACAGGCTGCTTCCACTCCTGGCAGAAGGGGAAGGGAAGCTGGTGTGAGAGATCACATGGTGAGAGAGGAAGCAAGGGAAATGGGGAGGCGCCAGGCTCTTTGTAACAAGCAGCTCTCCTGGAAACTAATACAGAGAGAGCTCACTCCCTCCCGCAAAGGGAGGGCATTCATCTGTTCATGAGGGATCTGCCTCCATGACCCGAGCACCTCCCACTAGGCACCCCCACCAACACTGCCACACTGGGGATTACATTTCAACGTAAGATTCAGAGGGGACAGACATCCAAACTGTAGCACTCCCCATGCCAACTCGTTCAGAACATGCTGCCAGCTCTACCTCCCAAATATGTCTGGAGTCTACCTATTTATTTCCTTTTCTACCACAGCCACTCCAGCTTTTGCTTCAATCTCCAGCCCCAACTCCTACCACTCTCCCTCTGCTCACCATCTTTCAGCCTCCTGGGACTTCTTTATGTTCTTCCAACTGCCAAGTTTATTTCTATCTTCTGAATCTTCTCTTTTCTTTGTCTAGAATGCTTAGTTCTTGGCACAGCCAATTTCCTTCTTGTCTCAGGCCTTGGTTCAAATGACACTTACCATGTAAGCTATCACCCCACTCAAGTCACTTTCTACCCCACAACCACTACTACCCTCTTTTGGTTTCTTTCTGTTACAATTACTTATCAGAAATAAGATATGTTGGTTTGTTTAACATCTTCTCCTCCCTCTAGATAAAAGCAGGTATTTCCTGCCTTGATTACTGTGGCACTTGCCACAGCAATCAAGAAAAGTACCTGGAAAAGTACCCAGCACCTAATAGTAACTGAATATATATGTGTAGAATGAATAAGTGTATGCTTTGGGAAAATTGCTTTGATGGCAATTTAGGAAACAGACTAGGAGAGAAGAATTCTATGCTTTCAAATGTTCTCTCTGACTAGAGTTGCAGTATAGATTGGCCTCTTGGAACACCAGACCTTGTAGGATGTTTGATGAGGTGAAGAATCCAGGATGAGCATAGCTGAGAAGTGACTTAGGAGATTTTTTTCACTGATACCAACAGGTGGGCTTCTTTTCCTGTGCTGATGCCAGAGTAGTTAAAATGTGGCCAAAATAGAGTTCTGTATTTGGATTGCTGACACTACAAGTGTGTGAAAGTGGAATTAGATACTTTTCCTGTGGTGGCTCCTGACCCTCAAATCATGGACAATCACAGAGGGGACAGTCATGTTCTGAGAGCACCATCTGGCAAGGAAGGAGTGAGGGGAATTAGCCAGTGTTGGGGTGGCTTTGCTTCCCTAGTCAGAGGTCCTTTTGGCTGGCCTAGTGGTGGATAATGTGGGGACAATTCTTTTCTTTCCATCTCTTCATTATTGCACAAAAGAGCACACAGATCTTCACAGAAAAGAGGTTAGCCAGGCTCCGTAACTCGAGGATTCTTCTTTCTCTCTTTATCCCAGAGCCCGAGTTCTCTTCCATGCTTTTCAAAGCATGGAAATAGAAAGGATGCTTAGAAAAGTAGATAAAAAGAAAACAGAATAGAAATCTCCTGCACCTGCCAACTTCTTCCCCTGAGTTCTATGTTATGCAGAATTTTTATTCAGTGAAAATATTTTTTTTTTCAGGACAAATAAACATCCACTCCAGTGGCAATTATCCCCTCTCCTTTTTTAGACTTTACGGAGTGATTTGAATTCTTAGGGTTTTCTTTCATTGTGCAGACTGAGAAATTGTAAACCTCACAATCGAGAGAGCTGCATGATCCGAACGAGTAGGCAAACCAGGCTCGGGGAGCTGGCACGGTCCCCACGGATCCACGTGGAAGCTGAGCCTTGCCAGTCTGCATGGACATTCCCCTCTCTAAAAGCCATAAGACATTCTGCTTGGAAGCACTACATAGTAGAAAAATGTGGATATAGAAGTCAGGAAACCTGGAATGTGGTTCTCACTAGCTAGGTGAACTTGGGCAATCTATTTAGGTTTTCTGAGCCAAGCTTTTTCTATCATAAAATGGGGGTAATAATACATCCCTCCCCTAAGTACAATGTTGTTTTGAGAATTAAGTGTACTTGTGAAAGTGCTTAGGAAACTGTGAAGACCTCTGGATATCTTAGTCACTATTTTTTAGTTTGTCAAATCAAACTCTTAATCTAGAATGGATAAATCTATTCACAGTGAATGTTCACTCATTAGACAGACTGATGGATAATGACTTGGGATTCTGGATTCAGACCAGGAGACAGAAATAAACCCACTCTTGATGATGTTTTAGAGCCTCTCTAATTTAATATGACTTAATCTGCACATTTATAGTATAGAACTTGAGTATTAGATAGGGCTAAAAATGTAGCTGTTGGGATTTAGTGAGAAAAGCTGGTTTTATCCACTCAACATTTACTCAATACGTTTTCTGGGTGCAGGTAGTGTTTATATCAGCACTTGGCACTTGTTAAGTACTCAGTAAATTCCTACTACTACTACTACTATTATTATTATTGCTATTTTCCATGCCTTGGGCTGGGCTTTGGGGTTGTAAATATGCAAACCATGGTCTCTCTCCTCTAGGAGCTCTGAGTCTAGTCAAGGAGGTAGATTTGTAAGCTGACAACAGAAAAATGAAACAAGTGGGGACAGTCAGAAACTGTCTTGAGTTAGCCTGTTTGAGTTTTACTCTGCTATTTATTAGCTAGGTGACTTAACCTTTCAAGCTTCATTTCCCTCATGTGTAAAATGGAAGAATAATTACATTGATTCTAAGGAATTACTTGATGAGTGAAATTAGATAATAATTCAGTCATTTATTTATCAAATACTCATTGAATGTTGTTGTTGGCAGACACAGATAATACATTTCCCAGAGATGTCCATGTCGTAATCCTCAGAATTTGTGGTGATGTTAGGTTACACGACAAAGGGGAATTAAGGTTGTTGATGGAATTAAGGCTGCTAATCAGCTGGCCTTAAAGTAGGGAGATTATCCTGGATTATCTGAGTGGGCCCAATGTCATCACAAAAGTCTTTAAAAGTGAAAGAGGGAAGCAGGAGAAGTCAGAGGTAGAGAGAGTTTTGAAGATGCTGTGCTGCTAGCGTTGAAGATGGAGAAACAATGCCATGAACCAAAGAATGCAGGCTGCCTCTAGAAGCTGCAAAAGGCAAGGAAACTTTCCCCTCCTGCAGCTTCCAGGAAAAATAATGAAGCCCCACCCGCACCTTGATTCTAGCCCACTGAGACCCATTTTGAATTTTTGACCTCCAGAGCTGTATGATCATCAATGCATGTTGTTTAATCCAGTAAGTTTGTAGTGATTATTACAGCAGCAACAGGAAACTGACACAAGTGTCCACCATGTGCCACCAGCCTCTGTTCTAGGTGCTGGGGCTAACCAGATGGACACACACATACTCTCTCTCTCTCTCTCTGTCTCTCAAAAGAGCAGAGAGAGCGCTTACATTTCAGAAAAATAAGTAAATGGATGAATATGAGTCAGAGGCTGATAAATGCTGTGAAAAAAATATTAAATCAAGGTAAGGGAGCTACGGAATAAAAGAGATTATGATTTTTCATAGCGGTGGTCAAGGATAGCCTTCATAATGCAATGACATTTGAACAGAGAAAGCTGAATTAAATGAGGTCTTGCCCCATGTGGATATCTAGGGGAAGCGCAGCCTTAGATGACGCAGCTCCTTTCCAAGGGCCATTCCCAAACACGGATGCAACTATGAGCCTTTAGCAGCCAAAACTCCTAGCAGCTAGAGGAATGAACAGTGTGGTCCTGAAGGGGAATCTGATTAGTGTATCACAGCATCCACTACAGGAGGCTATTACCATAGTCTGGCCAAGAAGTGATGTTAATTTGTAGTAGGCTGGTTTCAGGGAAGACGGTGAGAAATGATCAGACTCAGGCTATATTTTTAAAGTAGAGCTCATAGGATGATTTGCAAATGGATTTGATAGAATGGTTGTGATGGAAAGAGAGGTGTCAAGCCTGACTCCAAGTAACAGAAATACAGTTGTCATTTACTGAAACAGAGAATACTGGATGATGGGCAAGTTTGGGGGAGATAAATCAAGAGTTTAGTTTGAGATATATTAAATTTGAGATGCTTTAGCATTTCTAATTGAGGAGATGTTGAGTTCAGAGGAGAGATCAGAAGTGGAGATGTAACTTAGGGAGAAAGCCATGGAACTGACCTAAATCAATTTAAGGAGTGGATTTGGCAAACAAGAGATCCAAGATTGAGTCCTGGAGCACTACATCAGCTAAAGATTGGATCGATGAGAGAAGGTTCCCACAAAAGCCCATGGCCTGGTACATGGTAAGTGTTTAGCATAGGGTAGCTAGCCATGGAGGTTTTGTAAAGGGAAGGGGGATTAAGGCTAGAAAGCACTAACAGTGCCCGGGAATACACTTGCTGGGCCTTACTCTTCCTAATTTTCTAACTGACCCACATTCATCCCTGACCCTCTCTGGCCCTCACTTTCCTCTTCTGTAAACTACGACCTTTTTTGTTTTTTTTTTTTTTAACACCCTATAAACTATGATTTAGAAACGAAATTGTTAGAAAATATGTATCACCACATTCATGTAAATTTACTTTTTAAAAAATTTTATTTTTTACTGTGGTAAGATACACATAACATAAAATTCACCATTTTAACCATTTATTAGTGTATATACAGTTCAGTAGTATTAAGTACATTCACATTTTTGTACAACTATCACCACCATCTGTTTCCAGAACTTTTTCATCATCTCATACTGAAACTCTGTATCTATTAAGCAATAACTCCCCTTTTCCTTCTTCCCCCCGTCCCTGGTAACCACTGTCCCACTTTCTGTCTGTATGAATTTGACTAATTTAGGTATCCCATATAAGTGAAATCATACCGTATTTGTCCTTCAGTGTCTGGCTTATTTCACTTAGCATAATATCTTCAAGGTCCATTGAAGTTGTAGCATGTGTCAGAATTTCATTCCTGTTTAAGGCTGAATGACTTTAGTCAAGTGGATCTGAAATCACCAGACCTATGCCCCAATTCCAACTCTTCTATTTATGAGCTCTTGTGACCTTGGATGTGCCCTCTCTATCTCATTTCCTCATCTTTAAATAGTGAAAATAATACTTACCTCACAGACATGTTGGATGGAGAATTTGATATAATGGATGTGAAACCTCTTTAGAAAGATTATGATGCTATGCTATTTTTAACTATAGAAGGCCACTAGGTTGGTTGCCAGGCATTGATTTTCTTCTCTTGGCTACCCTAATGATATCTTTCCAAATGATTCCTTGGCCAGGCTGCATAGCTGTTCCAATTCACTTATCATGGCAGTCAAGTAAAGGGACTTGGTTGTCTTCCTGTCAGCTTCTCTATGTGTCAAATCAACATAGCCCAAGATAAGGCGCCTCTGTCTCTGACTCAGTCACTTTGGACCTGGGTGCCTCCATTGAATGCCAGGGAAAGTACAATTTCTGAGGGGTGAAAAAAAAACCCTCTTCCTCTTTTCTTTTTGCTACATTCTAAAGAAACATTCAGCTCCCTGTTTCTTGGCCTGACTCCATGAAATCATCCACCCTGGGGAGGGTGGGAGGATGGATTAGTTGGAAGTAATATGAGACAGCATGGCTTGGGAGTCTGGGGGCCTAAGGGCCAGCTGGATTTCCTGCAGGCTTGATGAACAAGTGTGACTAGGCGTTTCACCTCTCTGAATTGGTTACCTTTTTCAATGTCATAAGGTGTGGGACTTGATGACCTCCAGTCATTTCTGGCTCTGGCCTTCTATGAATTATGAATTATTTATAAATTACCATCCACTTCCTGTCAATGACTCTACAGCTTTCCTTTACTCCCACTCTTCATGTACTTTCCTTGCCCCCAAGAGCTACTCAATTCAGATTCAGACTTAAACTTGATCCTTACTCCTAGCTCTGAGCCTAACTCTTCCCTCCTACCTCTTTACTTTGATTCCTTTCTGGTCCAATTTTCTGTCTACAGTGACTGACTCTAGAAACATCTGCTTTCCTGATGCATGCTGAAAGATTAATGGTAGATTATGGCTTCAATTCACATTTAACTTGCATTTTAAGAGAAGATCAACACTCCAACTTCAAAAGAATGGCCCTGTCACAACAGGGCCTAGACTCAGAGTGAAAACATTGGCTCAAAAAGTAGATGAGGAACCAGATTATGTAGGCTTCCAAAGAGAGGCTAAGGAATTCGGACTTCATCCAATAGCAACAGGGAACCATTGATGGTGTTTGAGCTATATCTGAGTTATATCTCCAAGAGATCATTCAGGCAGCTCTATGAAGACCAGATTAAAGTGGGAAGAAAGCAGAGGCAGGCAGGAGATTAAATCCAGGATCTAGGTGAGAGAGACCAAGAAGAGTGGCCTTAGGGGTGAAAAGGAAGAGACTGATCTGAGAGGTTTTGGAAGAATCAACAAGACTTGGATCCCAGTGAGTCTTGGGATGCAATCACATGATTGCAAGATGAGACAACAGCTTCTTTTGTGAGCAACTTATAGATTACTAAGTGAAGGTTGTAGAAGATGAGAGAGAGGAAGGAGTTGGGAATGACACATTTCTAGCTTGTAAGGCATATATGTATTTTTTTTTATTTTACAGGCATATAACATTATGCCTGTAGCTAATGTATGAAATGCATGCTCTTCCATTCTTCCCAGCTCATTATGCTGCAGCCATATCCAATCCAAATTGCTCCTGTCTCAGGAGTTTTGCACTTGTGGGAAGTGTATGAGGGGAGAGAGGGAGTGAGAGAGAGAGAGAGATGTCATCTAGGAAAGAAGAAAGATGGGGTGAAGAAGTGTCTATGGGACTTTCTGTCCGTGTCACCATAATTCCTTTAGCAAAAGATTTAAAAGGTATGGGGGGATAGTTAAACTGACAATACTAAGCAAAGGATAGTTTATTAGATGAGAGAAGATATCAGTGAGTTATCAGTATCAGTGTCTCTAACTCTTGGAGCACCAGATGAAGCAACCTTGCACAAAGACTTGGGGGTAAGGCCCTGTGAGGGGCCTGATTCCTCATTGGTCCTTGGCATAATCACAGTTTTGGCCCACAAGTGTTTCAAAAAGTAAATACATTGATAAAAAAGAAGTATGAAAAGACCTGCAGAAACAAGTCGTATTCTGAGCTATCATGGAACAGTGGAAATCACATGATTGCAAGATGAGACAAGAGCTTCTTTTGTGAGCAACTTACAGATTACTAAGTGAAGGTTGTAGAAGATCAGTTGAATTATGCCAAAAGGCAGACATGGAATAAAGCTTCATTTCATTTTCTGGAGGGACCAAAATTGCTTTGTGTGAGTGATGGTGGAATGATGTAGAATGTGACAAAATAGAGTCTTCAAATAGTATTGTTTTTCCTGGGTGAATGAAGATGCTAATTGTAAGTCTAGAATTACCCTGTGCCCCCCAAAAATCTGTAGCAGTTAAATTTATTTTAGTTATTTGGGATTAAGGGAAGAATTCATGCAAAACAAATTTTTGACCATGTCCACACCAAATCCAAGGAAGAACCCCAATTAAAAACTGACTGCTATCTTGTCAAAACTGTCTCATACCTATAAAACATCTTGCATCCCATCTACAAAATTAACTACAAATACATCTTGCTACATCTCTTCTTTATGGCTATCATTGCAATTAACACAGAACAATAAATCAGGCATGGCATGATTTAGCCTAGGTAATAATTTGGATATATAAAAAACATGTAGAGTTATAAATTGCTATTATTTATGTTAATTTTTTGTACATACAAAGTATTCTAATTTAGGACCAAAATTTGGAAATTATTTGTAGAAGTGTAGAAAATAATAGTGACAAACCTAATGCATTGTGAAAACTGGAGCATATGGAACCAAATGTTCAAATGTTGTATGAACTACTGAAATAGGAGCTATTAAATTGTTTTAATTGAGTCTTTGGGGTAAAAGTTTAGAAGTTGGTTGAAGTTTCTGGCATTGGTAATTAGTCGTTTATAGGAGGGCAGATGCAATTCTAGGATAATTGACTATCCTTTCATCTTAAGAACTCTAAATAATGGGCACTTAACACCAAATCTACCTTGGATAAAAGATAAATTAGGACACCAGGACTCATGAACACACAGAATTTAAGAAAATTTTGGATGAAACATTAACATTACACATTGATTTACTTATATTGTCCCTTTCATTGCTTTTTTTTCATTTCTCAAGCATATAATATATTATTGGCCAGGTGCAGTAGCTCGCACCTGTAATCCCAGCAATTTGGGAAGCCGAGGTGGGTGGATCACGTGAGGTCAGGAGTTTGCGAGACCAGCCTGGCCAACATGGTGAAAACCTGTCTCTACTAAAAATACAAAAATTAGCCAGAGTGGTGGTGGGTGCCTGTAATCCCAGCTACTTGGAAGGCTGAGGCAAGAGAATCTCTTGAACCTGGGAGGCAGAGGTTGGAGTGAGCTAAGATTGCGCCACTGCACTCCAACCTGGGTGACAGAGCGAGACCCTATATCAAAGAAAAAAAAAGAATATAATATATTATTAACTAGAGTCACCATGTTTTACGATCGATCTCTTGAGCTTATTCTCCTATCTAACTGAAACCTGAAACTTTTATATTCTTCGACCAACATCTCTCTGATACTAGTCCCCACTCCTCTCCCACCCACTCCACCCACTCCTCTGGGACCACCATGCTACTCTCTATTTCCATGAGATCAACTTCTTTAGATTCCACATAGGAGTGAAATCATGTAGTATTTGTCTTTTGGTGCCTGGCTTATTCCACTTTGCAAGATTTCCCATATCTGGGGAAGGAAATAGGAATCCAGATCTTGAAAGGACAAAGAACATCAAATAAGATGAACCCAAAGAGCCCCATAAGGAGATACATTATAATCAAATTGCTGACAGTTAAAGACAAAATGAGACTTAACTGTTTAAGCTCCTGCCCAATGTTACATTGGGGATCTGGAATTTAAAAGAAGTCTAATTTCAAAAGTATGTTTTCTTTTTGTCTTTAACTTTGTGCTTTCTGGATCTGGATTTCTATTTCCTTCCCCAGACTTGAAAAATCTTCAGCCATTATGTCTTTGAATAGGGTCTTTGTTCCTGTCTCTCTCACTTCCTTTTGAGACTCTAATAATGAGTATATTGTTTCACCGATTGTGTCCCATAAATCTCTTAAGTTATCTTCACTCTTTTCATCATCATTATTATTATTTGGCTCCTCAGATTGGATAACTTCCAATTACTTGTCTTTGAGTTTACTGTTTCTTTTTCCTGCTGGCTCTAGTCTGCTGTTGAACTCCTCTATTGAATTTTTCAGTTTAATTATTGCATTCTTTAGCTGTATGATTTGTTTGACGCTTTTTAGTAGTTTCTATAACTTTGTTAAAATTCTCAGTTTGTTCATGCATTGCTCTACTGACTTTGCTGAGCATCTTTATTATCGTTCTTTTAAATTTTCTATTGGGTAAATCATATATCTCCATTCATTAGGGTCTGGTTTCTTGTCCATTTATTAGGAACATATTTTCCTGTTTATTCATTTTCCTTGACTCTCTGTTAGTTTTTGTACATGAAAGACAGTTTCATCTCCCAGTTTTGTCAGACTAACCTAACATAGAAGATGGACCTCACCAATCAGTTCAGTGAGAGGTTCTAGGTGCCTCTCAAACCTTCGTGCTTGTCCAAACCCCTTTCTTTGTTCTTAGTGGCCCCCAGAAGATTTGGGTGTGCCAAATCCTATCAGTTTCCCAAGGCAGATGAGATAGAAGCCAGTTCTTTGAGATGCAGTTGGAGAAGTTAAATGTTAGATATATGTTCCAGTTCTTTCTATACTCAGGAAGAAACAGAGCTGGAGTTCATCTCCCACTCACTCTGCATTAAGCTGGGGAGAGAATCTGTGATGAATGCCTGCACTGTCATTCAAACCACACCCTCTGATACTGGGGGTATAGCCACTGCCCGTGTGCCCATTGAAAAACCACCTCTTTGTTCTTTTGCGGTCTAGGGAGGCTCAGGAATGGAGAGTCCCACCAACTCCCCGAGCTAAGTGATTAAAAAGGCATTCTCTGTGATGGGAGCTGTAAAAGTTGGTGCACTTGATGCATGCACAAACTTCTTACAGGGAGAATATGCAGACCTGGATTTATCTCTGAAATGAGCCAGAGAAGAAGATGCAGGAAGTGCCCACACTCCCATTCAAGGTCCCAGAGGTCCATCAGCTCCCAGATGCAGACTAGTTAGAGGTCCAACCCTCAGGCAGCAACTGGAAAAGTGTGCAAACTCCTTTCAGGGAGAAACTAGGAACTGGGCATTTTAGCCTATTCTCTGCACCGAGCCCAGGGGATACAGCTACTGGAAGTGCTCACATGCTCATTAAAACCATCTCTTTGTTCTCTGTGATCCATGGAGACTCACAAATGCAGAGCCCTGTCAATTCTTGAGCTAAGTATTAAAAAAACCAGTCCCTTGGCTGAGGACTGTAAAAGTTGGGGTAGTATTTATTTGTTCCAAATACTTCACTCCTTAGTAAGAAGCTGGGAATTGGGGATTCCTTCCCAATTGTAAGATGTGGTATCTGGGGTGGGGTTTGTGCCTAAGTGTGCCTCAGTGTTTCCTATCCATTTTGATGTAGATATTTTCTCAGTTACCTTGTGAGTAGGAGTCTCTCAACCAGTTTCTGGCTTTCTCTCAGAGAAAATTTATCTGCGTGCAGTTGTTTATTTGTTGCATACAAGGGAGAAAGGAAAGCCAGGAGCCTCCTATTCTGCCATCTCGCTGACATCACTCCCATGCAGTGTGATTTGAGAAACATTCAGGACCCTGCCTGTCCCACTACATCCTGCCTACCCGACTTCACTTTTCTGCCCTTATCCTTATTCCTATTGCCTGGAATTAGGCAGCAGATGTAGAAGCATCTGTTCCAGGATACAGATGTAAAATGCTTTTCGTTTTACAAAGCAATTTTTCCATCATTATCTCATTTAATCCTCATAGCAACGCCATGGCCTAGGTTCTTTTATTTATTTTTTTTATTTTATTATTTTTTTTAACAGAGAAACAGAAGATCAAACTTAAAGTCACAGCAAGTAGGTGGCAGAGTGAAGAGCAGATCCAGCAGATTCTCTGAACTCTCGGGTGAGCATGCTTTCAGCACCACAACACACCACAATGGAACAGCTTATGAACTTCTTGGAAACTATTTAAATAACAAAGAGAATGACCTTTGTCTTGAGTCATTCATTATCTGTCACAGGAGACATGAGATATCATCTTTGGGCAAGGTCTTCGCCCCGTTTTGTAATTTAAGTAAAACTTTAATGCTGATTTTCTCTCCCTCCTAGTGTTAGTCCTGGCTGCTGGGAAAGGAAAGGAAATGCTTTCACACTTTATAGACAACCTTGGCTTCAACCACATCATTTGCTCCATTTTTTTCTGCTAAAAAATAGGAAAAAGCAGATGTAAAGACTTCTCTGTTTCTCTTTAAAGGAAGAAGATAATAGTTGTTTTGCACATTTTAATTTAGCATATTTTAAAGGATTGAGAATTGATTTTTTTTAATTGGAAGATTTATCTTGGATAAAAAATTAATGTGGGTTGAGCTAAGAATACTTTCTTTGAATATCAGGAGGCAAGGGGGAGGCTCTGGAGAGCTGTTTGTAGACCTCCAGCAACCCTCATAATCTCTTTGAGACCAGCTGGACACTAAGACCTGGGCCCATTCTGGCATCACAGGCACATGGGCCACAGTCAGACTACGTAATGGAGTGGGATGTGGGTGCAGGGTATCTTCTAACCAGGCCCCCATCTCTGCAATTCTCCATCACAAATGAAAGGCCACATCTGATTTCTCTTGGTCTCCCATTCTCATTTCTCTTTTTTTGAGACAGGGTCTTGCTTTGTCATACAGGGTGTAGTGTAGTGGTGTGATCATGGCTCACTGAAGCCGCAACTTCATGGCCTCAAGTTATCCTCCCACCTCAGCCTCCCAAGTAGCTAGGTCCACATATGTATGCCACTACACTCAGCTAATTTTTTAATTTTTTTGGAGAGATGAAGTCTCATTATGTTCTTCTCGGTATTGACTTCTTTTTTTAAATTTAGTTAATTGATTAATTTTTTTTTTTTGAGACAGGCTCTCATTCTGTTGCCCAGACTGGAGTGCAGTGGCGTGTTCTCTGCTCACAGCAACCTCCGCCTCCCAGGCTCAAGCGATTCTCCTGCCTCAGCCTCCTGAGTAGCTGGGATTACAGGCTCGTGCCACCACACCTGCCTAATTTTTTTATTTTTGGTAGAGATAGGGTTTCACCATGTTGGCCAGGCTGGTCTTGAACTCCTGACCTCAAATGATCCACCTGCCTTGGCCTCCCAAAGTGCTGGGATTACAGGCATGAGCCACCACGCCTGGCCAGTACTGACTTCTCTGCCTCTTTCCATTGTGCCCCTGAGTCCTTGCTCCCTGGTGAATAACTCTCTACTCACCTCCTTTCACTGAGATCTGGATGCCCCATGTGGACTTCCTGAGTGGAGGCTACTCATTCTCTCTTTCCATGCACCATGGAGCTGGAAAGAGCTTGACATTAACCCAGATCTTTTTGAATGTTTCCAGCATTACACTTTCACCTTGTGAAAATTGCTATTTATTTTGAGTTTCATTATATTTGTTTGTATAGCCCACAATATCTTCTATTTCACTGCCATTGACTTGCCTCCCAGTTACTGTTATTCATTTATTGAAGACTCTGGCAGCTGATTTATAATCTTTCTCTTTAAGTCCTGCCATCATCCTAGGAGATTTCTATGACAAGAATTGAACCATCCAACATCCTAGTCTCATAATTCCGAAACTTCTTATTTCTAGAGACAATCTTGCCTCAATTTAAGTCATATACTCAAGGGCCATTTCCTAAGAGTAGTCCTCTGCTGTGGTTTGAAGCACTCCCGTACCCCCAAAAAAGCATATGCTGGAAACTTAATCCCCAATGCCACAATGTTAAAAGGTGGGGCCTAATGAGAAGTGATTAGGCCATGAGGGCTCTACCCTCATGAATCGATTAATGCATTCTGCATTAGTATAGAAGTGGGTTTATTATCACATGAGTGAGTTCATCATAAAAGGACAAGCTTGGCCCCCTTCTCTCCCTCTCTCTTGCCCTCTCTTTGCTCTTCTTTCATGGGATGATGCAGCAAGAAGGCCCTTATCAGACATGGCCCCTTGCTTTCCAGCCTCCAGAATGATGAGCCAATACATTTCTGTTCATTATAAAATTACCTAGTCTGGGGTATTTTGTTGTAGCAGCACAAAGTATACCAAGACACCTCTGAAGTCTTCAACTTCCCTCTACCTTCTAGTTTTCTCATGCATTTGCTTCCTCTAGGCACTTGGCATTTTCTCAGCCTTTATTCCTTTCCCTCTTTAGACCCCATGATTGAGCATCCTTTTCTTCTTAGCAACTCTGAACCTCTATCACTCTCCTTTAGTTCCACATTCAACTCCCCACACCCCACATTACTGGCAGAAGATTGTGTCTTTTACCCCACTGAGAAAATTATGCCTCTGGCATCATATTTCTCAACTTTCAGCAGCCTACCATTTATTGCCTCTTCTTTTCTCAGTCTCAGAGGATGTGTTTCCTTGATGCCACTTTTTTCTCCCACACCCACACTTATTCTCGCAGTCATCACCTCCTTTTTCTTATATAAAACCTTCTCCCCCATGGTATAAAAATAGTAATTTTTCCCATCCTCAAAAAAAACTTTCAAAAAACATAACTGCCTTTATGCTATGTTCATCTCTAACAAGGTAGCATCCTATCCATATATTTCAGAAGAGTTGCCTACACTCACTGCCTCCACTTTTTCACCTCCCATACACTCCTCAATTGGCTGCAGTTTAGCTTCTTGTCCCAATCATTTCATTAAAACAGATATCACTAAAATCAATAACAGCTTCTGAAGTGCCAATTCCAATAAGTGTTTTTCAGTTCATATCTTACTGAATCTCTTTGACATTGTTAATTTCTTTCCCGTCTTGAAACTCTGGATTTCCTTGGCACCTAGGACACTAATTTTTCTGATTCTTGTAATATGTCACAATTCTATCACTGTTTTTTTTTTTAATCTCTGGTCCTTTTTAGGCTTCTTTTCCTCTTACAGATTGGAAGTCTCCAAAGTTGCCCACAGTTTCACGTTCTCCTTAAGTAAGGTGTTCCACCTCCATAACTTTTATTAACACTTATAAGTCACTAACTTGAGAGAATCTCTCTTTCATCCACACCTTTTTCTAAGTTTTAGAGTTGGGAGTTTTAGAGTTGGATATTTGCCTTCTAGACCACTCCAGCTCACCCCTCAAACACAACATGTCCCCAAACCAGCTCCTTTTCATGAATTTGGTAATTCATCCTTGCCTAAGCACCAGGTTAAAACTTGGAGGATGTTTTATCCTCAACTTCTCTTTTTCCCTTGTCAGCCATATCATATCAATGGCCAATCATTCCAAATTAAGTCAAGACTCATCTCTCCCTCTCCTGGATTGCTGTAATGACGTTCACACAAGTCTCCCTTCTTTCATTCCTGTTTACTTTCAGTCTATCCTTATAGGATAGTCAGTATAATCTAATAAAATACAAATCTGACTACACCAAGCTCATTCTTAAAGGATTTAAATAATTGAATGGTATCTATAGAAACATGTCTAGGCTCTTCACATATAAGGGCTTCCATGATCTAATATCTGTAGATGTCTTTGTCTCATCAATCAATCCTCCTACTTGACTCTTTCTGCTTTGGCAACAAGGAACTCCATGGAGTTCACATTCCCCACCACCCCAACCAGGCAGGACTGACTACAGATATTTGCTCATGTTCTTCCCTTGTCTGTAATTCATCACCATTTTTCTCTATCTTTTATGTGGCTCAATCTCAGTCATTCTTTAAGACTCAGTTTATAAGCCCTCCTCATGTTTCTTAGCTGATATTTGAGCCTTTCCTCAGAGCTTCCATAACATCCTGTATATTCCTCTGTCAAATTACTTTACACTGTCTTCTCTGTTTATCTTCCCACCACATTGTATGCTTCTTGATATCTCATTCAATTTTCTATTCCTCTTGCCCTTCCTAGTGCCGGATATCTAGAAGGTGCTTGGAAACACTTTGGACTTGGAATTATACTAGAATTCAAATCCTTTTTCTTCCATGCATTGTTCTAAGACATACATAAGTCACCTTACCTGTCTGAGCCATGCTTCCTTATCTATAAAGATTCTTTTGTTTTTCAAGAAAAAACTAAAGATCAAATGAGAAAACATATAAATATTCCTTGTAAATTATAAAGTACTATGAAAATATTTTATTATATAGAATGTGCAGAAAGATATAGATAAAAAACATCTTTCATGTTATGAATCCTGTACAAATTTCAACAAAACATCATATTTATTAAAAAATCTACATAAGCATTCTTATATCAGTGTGTGCTATGGTTTGAATGTTTGTGTCCCTCCAAAATTCATATTCCTCTAATGTAATACTATTATAAGATGGGGCCTTTTGGGAAGTGATGAAGTCATGAGGGTTCCACCTTCATGAATGAGATTAATGAGAGCTGCCTAGTCTTTTGCTGTTCCACTATTTCACCATGTGAGGACACCTAATTCTTCAATGCCAGACACCAATAAACATCCATGAGCATTAAGAATATTTGGAAAACATGACCTGAACAAATGAACTGAATAAGACATCAGGGTCCAATCTCAGAGAGAAAGAGATATGTGACCTTTCAGACAAATAATTTCAAACAACTGTTTTGAGGAAACTCAATGAAATCTAAGATAACACAGAGAAAGAATTTAAAATACTATCAGATAAATTTAACAAAAAGATTGAAATAAAGAGAATCTGGCAGAAATTCTGGAGTTGAAAAATGCAATTGATAAACTGAAGAATGTATCAGAGTTTCCTGATAGAAGAATTTATTCTGCAGAAGAAAGAATCAGTGAGCTTGAAGACAGGCTATTTGAAAACATACGGTCAGAGGACACAAAAGAAAAAAGAATAAAAAAGAATGAAGTATGCTTACAAGATCTAGAATATAGTCTCAAAAGTCTCAAAATCTAAGAGTTATTGACCTTAAAAAGAAGGTAGAGAGACAGATTGGGGTAGAAAGTTTATTCAAAGGGATAATAACAGAGAACCTCTCAAGAGAAGAAAGATATCAATATTGAAGTTCTATAAGATTATAGAATACCAAGCAGTTTTAACCTAAAGAAGAATATCTCAAATCATTTTAATAATTAAACTCCCAAAGGTCAAGGATAAAGAGAGGATCCTAAAAGCAGCAAGAAAGAAGAAACAAATAACATACCATGGAACTCCAATATATTTGGCAGCAGACTTTTCAGTGGAAACCTTACAGGCCTGGAGACAGTGGCATGGCATATTTGAAGTGCTGAAGGAAAAAAAAAATCTTATGCTAGAGTGGTGTATCTGGTGAAAATATCCTTCAAACATGAGGGAGAAATACTTTTCCAGATAAACCAAACCCGAGGGATTTCATCAACACCAGACCTGTCCTACACGAAATGCTAAAAGGAGTTCTTCAATCTGAAAGGAAAAGTTAATGAGGAATAAGAAATCATCTGAAGGTACAAAACTCACTGGTAATAGTAAGTACACAGAAAAGCAGAGAATGTTATAACACTAATTGTGTTGTGCAAGCTACTCATATCCTAGGTAGAAAGATGAAACGATGAACTGGATCAAAATAGTAACTACAACAACTTTTCAAGACATATCCAGTACAATAAAATATAAATAGAAGCAACAAAAAGTTAAAAAATGGGGGGAGAAAATTAAAGTGTAGAGTTTTCTCTTTGTTTATTTATGCAATCAGTGTTAAGTTGTCATCAGTTTAAAATAATGCGTTATAAGAAATCATTTGCAAGCCACATGAAGAAACATACAATGGATACATGAAAAATAAAAAGCAAGAAATTAAATCATCCCACCAGGGAAAATCACCTTCACTAAAAGGAAGACAGGAAGGAAGGAAAAAAAGACCACAAAACAACCAGAAAACAAGTCACAAAATGGCAGGAGTAAGTCCTTACTTATTAATAATAATATTGAATGTAAATGGACTAAACTCTCCAATTAAAAGACATGCAGTGGCTTAATGAATAAAAAACAAGACCCAATGATCTGTTGCCTACAAGAAATATGCTTCACCTATAAAGGCACACATAGACTGAAAATAAAGGGATGGAAAAAGGTATTCTATGCCAAAAGAAACAAAAAATGAGCAAGAGTAGCTATACTGTATCAGACAAAATTAATTTCAAGACAAAAACTATAAAGAGAAACAAAGAAGGTCATTATACAATGATAAACAGGTAAATTTAGCAAGAAGATGAAACAATTGTAAATATATATGTGCCCAAAACTGGAGCACTCAGCTAGATAAAGCAAATATTATTAGAGCTAAGTAGATAGACCCTGAATACAATAATAGCTAGAGGCTTCAACACCCCACTTTCAGCACTGGACAGATCATCCAGAGAGAAAATCAACAAAGAAACAATGAACTTAATCTGCACCATAGACCAAATGGACCTAGTAGATATTTATAGAACATTTCATCCAATGGCTACTAAATACACATACTTTTACTCAGCACATGGATCTTTCTCAAGTATAGGCCATGTATTAAGCCACAAAACAAGCCTTAAAACATTTTTAAAGATTTGAAATAATATCAAGTATCTTCTCTGATCACAATGGAATAAAACTAGAAATTAATAAAAAGAGGAATTTTACAAACTACATAAACACATGGAAATGAAACAACATGCTTCTGAATGACAAGTTGGTCAATGACTAAATTAATTAAGAAATTTAAAAAATTCTTGAAACAAATGATAATGGAAACACAACATACCAAAACCTATGGGATACAGTGAAAGTATTACTAAGAGGGAAGCTTATAGGTATAAATGCCTACATCAAAAAAATAGAAAACTTCAAATAAACAACCCAATGATACGTCTTAAAGAACTGGAAAAGCAAGAGCAAACCAAACTCAAAATTAGTCAAAGAAATGAAATAATAAAAATAGGAGCAAAAATAAAATTAAAATGAATAAAACAATATAAAAGATTGACAAAATGAAAAGTTGTTTTTTGAAAAGATAAACAAAATCAACAAACCTTTAGCCGGACTAAGAAAAAAAAAAAGACCCAAATCAATAAGATCAGAGATGCAGAGATGAAAAAGAAGACATTACAACAAATACCACAGAAATTCAAAGGATTATTAGAGGCTGCTGTGAGCAACTGTATGCCAATAAATTGGAAAACCTAGAAGAAATGGATAAATTCCTACCAAGATTGAACTATGAACAAATCTAAAACCTGAATAGACCAATAACAAGTAATGAGAGCAAAGCTGTAATAAAATGTCTCCCAGCAAAGAAAGCCCAGGACATGATTATTTCACTGTTGAATTTTACCAAACATTTACAGAAGAACTAATACTGATTCATTCACACTATTCTGAAAAATAGAGGAGGAGGAAATACTTCCAAAAATGTATTCTACAAGGCTGATATTACACTGATACTAAAGCTAGATGAAGACACATTAAAAAAAGAAAAGAAAACTACGGGCCAATATCCCTGGATGAACACTGATGCAAAAATCCTCAACAAAATACTAGCAAACAAAATTCAACAATTCATTAGAAAGATCATTCATCATAACCAAATGGGATTTATCCCAGGGATGCAAGGATGATTCAACATATGCAAGTCAATCAGTGTGATACATCTTATCAACAGAATGAAGGACAAAACCCATATGATCATTTCAATTGATGCTGAGAAAGCATTTGATAAATTTTAACATCCCCTCATGATAAAAACCCTAAAAAACAGGGTAATAAAAGGAACATACCTCATCATAATAAAAGCCATATGTGACAGACCCACAGCTAGAATTATACTGAATGGGGAAAAACTGAAAGCCTTTCCTCTGAGATCTGGGACAAGACAAAGATACCCACTTTCACCAGTTATTCAATATAGTACTGTAAGTCCTAGATCGAGCAATCAGACAAGAGAAAGAAATAAAGGGCATCCAAACTGGAAAGGAAGAAGTCAAATTATTCTTGTTTGCAGATGTTATGATCTTGTATTTGGAAAAAACTAATGACTCCACCAAAATGCTATTAGAAATGATAAACAAATTCAGTAAAGTTGCAGAATACAAAATCAACGTACAAAAATCAATAGCATTTCTATATGCCAACAGTGGGTAATCTGAAAAAGAAATCAAGAAATTAATCCCAGTTACCATAGTTACAAATAAAATAAAATACTTAGCAATTAATCAAAGAAGGGAAGGATTTCTACAATGAAAACTATAAAATATATTGATGAGAGAAATTGAAGAGGACATAATAAAATGGAAAAATATACCATGTTCATAGATTAGAAGGGTCAATATTGTTAAAATATCCAAACTACCTAAAGCAATCTATAGATTCAAAGTAGTTCCTATCAAAATATCAATGACATCCTTCACAAAAATGGAAAAAAAACAATCCTAAAGTTTTTTTGGCCACAAAAGACCCAGAATAGCCAAAGCTATCCTGAGTAAAAAGAACAAAATTGGAGGAATTATGTTGTATGACTTCAAATTATATTACAGAGCTATAACAACCAAAATGTCATGCTACTGTCATAAAAATAGACACATAGACTAATGGAACAGAATAGAGAACTGAAAAATAAATCCGTTCATCTACAGTGAACTCATTTCCAACAAAGGTGCTAAGAAAATGCATCGAGGAAAGGACAGTTTCTTTAAGAAATGGTGCTGAAAAAACTGTGTATCCATATGCAGAAGAATGAAACTAGACTATCTCTTGCTATATAAAGAATCAAATCAAAATGGATTAAATACTTAAATCTAAGTCCTCAAACTATGAAACCACTAAAAGAAAACTTTGGGGAGACCTCCAGGAAAATGGTCTGGGTAAAGATTTCTTGAGTAATACCCCACAAGCACAGGCAACCAAAGCAAAAATGGACAAATGGGATTGCCTCAAGTTAAAAAGCTTCTGCACAGCAAAGAAAACAATCAACAAAGTGAAGAGACAACCCATAGAATGGGAGAAAATATTTGCAAATTACCCATCTGACAAGGGATTAATAATCAGAGTATATAAGGAGCTCAAACAACTCTATAGGAAAAAAGTCGAATAATCTGATTGAAAATGGGCAAAAGATCTGTATAGACACGTCTCAAATAAAAACATACAAATGGCAAACAGATACACAAAAAGGTGCTCAACATCATTGATCATCAGAGAAATGTAAATCTGAACTACAATGAGATATCATCTTACCCCAGTTGAAATGGCTTTTATCCAAAAGATGGGTAATAACAAATGCTGCTGAGAATGTGGAGAAAAGGGAATCCGCATACACTGTTAGTAGGAATGTAAATTAGTACAACCGCTATTCAGAACAGTTTGGAGCTTCCTCAAAAAACTAAAAATAAAACTACTATACAATCCAGCAATCCCACTGCTAGGTATATACCCACAAAAAAGGGAATTAGTAAATATCAAAGTGGTATCGGCACTACTATGTTTATTGCAGGACTATTCACAATAGCCAAGATTTGGAAGCATCCTGAGTGTCTATCAGCAGATGAATGGATGAAGAAAATTTGGTACATATTCACAATGGAGTACTATTCAGCCATAAAAAAGAATGAGATACTGTCATTTGCAGCAACATGAATGGAAGTGGAGGTCATTATGTTAAGTGAAATGAGCCAGGCACAGAAAGGCGAACTTTGTATGTTTTGACTTATTTGTGGGAGCTAAAAATTAAAACAATTGAACTCATGAAGATAGTAGAATAATGGTTACCAGAGGCTGGGAAGGGTAGTGGAGGAGTGGGGGGAAAGTGGGGCTGCTCAATGAGTCCAAAAACAAAATAGAAAGAATAGATAAGTTCTAGCATTTGATAGCACAACAGGATGGCTATAGTCAATAATAGTTGTATTTTAAAATAACTTAAAGAGTATATAATTGGATTGTTTGTAACACAAAGGTTACGCTTGAGGTGATGGATGCCCCACTTACCCTGATATGATTATTATTCATTGTATACCTGTATCAAAATATCTCATGTGCCCCATAAATATGTACACATACTATGTAACCACAAAAATTAGAAATTAAAAAAGAAGAGAAATAATATTAATCAATAAATAAGATTCAGTAACAGATAAGTATACCATTTCCCTTAAACCTTGCTTTACAAAAAGGCAATAGGAAGTCACTGAAGGTTTTGGAGTAGGAAATTGACATAATTAAAGTAGCATTTAACATTTTTTAAAGAAGAAAGAAAAAGTGCTTTCAAAAGAGAATATCAAGGGTGCAGCCAAGAGACCCTTTTGTTAAGAAGATTAATATGGCTAGAAGGAAGCCAGGTGCTGTTCATCAAAATAAAGAAGAATGACCCTGAAGGCATTTTAGAAATCTTTAAGGCTGGCATTCTTATCATAGGCCCAGAGGGCCAGGGATTTGAGGTCAGTTTCAAGGGAAGGACTGAGGATGCCCATGGGACCTAAGGGCTCACTGTCCAAGGATGCCTCATGTTTCTTTCCATGCATTCCAGCACAGGGGTCTTCAGCCAGCCCAGATATGGCTGCAATGGTGCAGTATGATGTGCCATCACATCCCCACCCTACCCCAAGAAGGGCACAGGCTGTAAACCTTGGTGGTGTTCATGTGGTGCAAACTCTGCAGGCACACAGAATGTAGGAGCTGTGAGGACAGGAGCACCACAGAGTCTCCATTAGGGCAATGTCTACTGGAGCCATGGGGTAGGGCTACCCCTGAGACTCCAGACTTAGAGCTGCCAGCATGCAATTACAGACTGGGAGAGCTGAGGCAGGGACTGCTCCCAGCAAAGCTACAGGGGCAGGGTTGCTTGAAGCTTTCAGAGCCCAACCCCTGCCCCAGTGTGTCTGGAAGATGGAATATGGAGTCAAAGAAAATTATTCTCCAGCCTTAAGATTTAATATTGTTTGTCTTGTTGGATTTTGGACTTTCTTGGGACTTGCTACCTGTTTCTTCTTCCCTGTTTGTCCCTTTTGCAATGGGAATGTCTATTCTATGCCATTCCACCGTGTATTTTAGAAGCATATAACTTGGTTGATTTCACAGGCTCACAGCTGGAGGGGAATTTGCCTCAGGATGAATTGTGTCTTGAGTTGCACCCATATCAGATTTAGAAGAGTTTGGACTTCGACTTTAAAGTTGATGCTGAAATAAGTTAAGACTTTTGGGGCTATTTGGTTGGAATGAATGTGTTTTATTTGTGAGAAGGACATGAATTTTTTGAAGCAGGAAGGGGCAGAATGCTATGATTTGAATGTTTGTTTCCTTCCAAAATTCATGTTGAAACTTAATCCCTAATGCAATAGTATTAAGATATGGGGCCTTTTGGGAAATGACTAAGTTATGAGAGCTCTGTCCTCATGAATGTGCCTTCGGAGAGCTGCCTGACTGTTTTTATTCTTCAACCCCTCCACCATGTGAGGATACCTATATGTCACCATCTATTAGGACTGGGACTCATCAAACACTAAATCTGTCTGTGCCTTGATCTTGGGCTTCTCAGCTCCAGAACTGTGAGGAAATATATTTCTATTATTGATGCGTTACCCAGTCTCAGGCATTTTGTTATAGCAGCATGAACAAACTGAGATAGCATGGTAGTTTGCAAGTGTAGCAAGAGGATGACCTCTTTGTTCAAAAGCCTAGTCAATACTCATAGAGGTACTAGAATTAAACCTGTGAAAATAATCAGCTAATATCATTTAATAGCTATGACAAAAACACTATTTTAGCTTTAACATCAGCAGGACATGCACCTTCAGAGAATCTTAAAAAATTCCATAGCATCACATCATTTTTTTCTGTGCCTCCAGATTGCTCCTTCTACCCAACGCCTTCAGCAGGCATATTGTGTACATTTCTCAATTCCATGTGAAAATCAGGCCATGGAGAAGAGATTCAGATGAGATTTCACAAACCATCCTGATTTTCCTTAAGTGAATACATGTCGCTTATCCAATTCTTCCTCTATTGCTTGTCAAAAGAGTAGGAAAAACAGTTCCATTCTATAAGGACAATTCCTGATCCAGATAAATTGAAATTAGAAACAAATAACTACGTGATCACCAGAAGTGATCACTTCTGATGATTTAAATCTTTATAGAAAATTGGAGCTAGAAAACTCCTCATCCAGATTGTGCAACAAAGAGCTTCAGGGAACTAAAAGCACTAAGGCAAGAGTAACATAATCATTTGCTTTTCATGGTGGAGGGGGTAGTGAAGGAGCTTTCAGAACAGGGAAAATTCTTTAGGGTAGAGATGCAAGGCCTGGGCTTTGGAGATGAAGACCTGGCTCTGTCATCTACTGAATGGGTGACCTGTGGCAGGTTATTTAATCTTTCTGGGCCTCAGTTTCCTCATTTGTCATATGGGGATCAATCACAAGATATATCTCATGGAGATGTGTTTTATATGTGTGTGTGTGTGTGATATTTATATATCTATGTTTTTATATATGTTACATATGTTGCTATAGATAAAAAACATAGAGAGCTAGTGAGCTAGTGCACATGCATGCTTGGACTGTATTCAATAAATCGTAGATAGTACTTTAATTAAAGTTGAATTCATTTGAAGAGAAATGAAAGTGCAGGGGAATAAAGGAAGACTGTAAAGTTACGTTGGAACCAGATTATGCAGCTCTTGACTTCTAGGTTACAATGTTAAGGTTTTGTTTAGACAATGGGAAGCCTTCAAAGGTTTTTGAGTGGGAGCATGACACAATTACAGATGTGGTTTTTGAAGATTGATCTGGAAGCAGTGTGTGGAGCGAGCTTTCAGGGAAATATCAGGAGGTAGAAAAACCAGATAGGAAGCTAGTGTTTTAGTTTTCATAAGACCTGATGAAGTCTGACCTGTGGCAGTGTTAACTGGGTTGAAGAAGAGGGATAGTGTTGAGATAAAACTGGCAAGAGGGAGTTAAAGACAGCTCCTGTATTTCACACCTTTGTGACTGGGAGGATGATGGTGATCTTTATTTTAGCAATGGGGAGCATAGGCAGGGACGTGAGTTTAAGAGGGTCTATAATTTAATGTTGAATCTAGGTATTTCAGAGGGTACAGAGATAGAAATATCCAAAAGGCATTTGGATATCATAACTCTCTAGCACTCTGACTATGATCAATATTTTGGTATACTTCTTCGGATTATTGGTTCCTATTTCGGAACACTCTGCTTGATTTTTTAAAAAATGCAATCAGTAGGCATGTAGGATTCACCCACAGAAACACTCTTTATAGCAAACCTGGCTGGAATGCATTTCTTCTATTAAGTGACTCTTTAGGAATTCCCAGCTCACTGCTGTGCTACCCAAGTTAATCACATTTGTTTCCTGCTAGGAAGATGTTTGAATCCAAGCAAGAACCCATGCAAACTCCTGTTTTCCTTGAGTTCCTGTGTTCTACTTCCCACCCAAACTGGCTGAAAACATGAACAAATCTGATTCTCGTACAACTGTGTTGAACAGTCTGCCCCTTCATTCTCCTTATCAAAGAACTCACCCTGGCTGCAGAGGCCAAGCCTCCCCAGGGAAAGCCATGCTGAGACCTAGTGTCACATCCACCTTATCTGCATTGTATGCTTCTTTTCTTCTGTAAACTCTCCTTCTGTTGTCCTGATAGATATCAAGGTGGAGTTTAAATGGTCTGTAATCCCCAAGTTCCCAGTGGTACCTCTGGAAAAGATTGGGCCCACATTAGCAATTTTCCAAGTTTCGGCAACGGTGCCTACTGCAGCCCCGGCCTCTGTTGACCAGTTCACCTTCCCATTCATCCAAACCCCAGACAAGGAGTCCTGCTGTTTTCTGGTCATATCCAGCTCTCAGGGATCTATTCTTTTTGAGAGAGGCTTTAGTATGTTGATCAATTTCTTTTAAAATGTGTATTAGGATTTATTGTGTGCAAAACATTGAACTAGACAATGCCAGAGACCTCCTTAAGATGAAAGAGACATATAGTTTTTGTTTTCAAATGAAATTAGGATCTAGTGAGGCAAGTTGACATGTACACAAATGAGACAAGGGAGGCTGGGTAGGGGTGAGCATGAAGAAGAGGAGGGTGAAAAGCTAAGCATGAGTTAAATCTGCAACTTAGCAGCTACAAGACTTAAATTTTATATTGAAGACAGGGTACTTTGAAACCCTTTCTCTGTGGAATGGCTAATGGTAGAGCCCAAGAAGACTCTGGGGACAAGTGGAGGTCCCATTTCAAGGCCATCTCTGAGGCCTATTACGTATAGAGTGAGTGTCCTGTTTGGCGAGAAGAGTGGCTGAGAGGTTGGGTTGAAGGGGCCATTTTGTTAAAGTGAAAACAGAGCAAACAAACATTTTAAAAAGTAACTCAGGTGATATCCTTAATGGTAAATAAAGGAGATAAAGATAGCACACTGCCTAAGTAATTATGTTTTTGGTATAAATCTAGAATTCAAGTAAGGTTTCTGCTAATTAGTTTTTTTTTTTTGTACTTTGTTTTCAGACTGAGGATCTCATTAATACAACCTCTCGTGGAAGACACATTAGATATACTGTTCCTTGCGTGTAGAATATACATGAATTCATTGTGCATGGAGTTTGCATTTTCCCATTTGATTCTCATACCAGCCCTGTAAACAGGTCTTAGCTCAAAAAATTATGAGACTAGCTCCAGTTTCTCTCTAACCAGAGGGTAATTTTTTTGTGGTCAAGGGCCATCTTTGTGTCTCCAGGGTCCGGAAAAGAAATGAACTGAAGAATTTATGACAGAGCTGCAGAAAAACCTCAAAAGCTTTCCTCAGTTCTGTGCTTTTTAAAAAGAATTAATAGCAATCAGTTTCTTTTAGATAAAGCAAGTCAGCTGGGACTACATCCAAAGGAATATATTAGGTCGGTGCAAAAGTAATTGCAGTTTTTGCCACAATTACAATACAAGTAATGGCAAAAACTGCAATTACTTTTGCACCAACTTAATATCTGATGCTAGAGACATTACTAGAACCCTAAGGTGCTAAGGGGAGGTTTCAGCATGATATTTCAGAAATTCCGAAATTGCTGGGTTCATGCAGAAGAATAAAGACTCAAGTCCACAAATCAAGGGCTAGCAAAAGATGAGGCCAGAAATAGGTCAATAGATTCATTGTGTATGACACCACTGATGTGTGCTCTTCCTTTGAAGGGTTTCAGCCTCAATTACTTTTATTCTTAGGTTTCTGTGGCCCATCTCATTGTCCTGACCCTAAGGGCAGGGATTTGGGCAGCGGAAAGTTGTTTCAAGCGGTTAAGATATCTTGGAGTCATTTCAGGAGAGGCACATCTTTATCAATGTCCATGTCTTTAGTTAAGCCAGAGATGGGTACTTTGGTGGGATTTGAGGTTCAATAATGGGAAAAATATCCATGGTGATCCAAGGTAAATTGTATTCTAAGGGTTGTAGGGCAGATTAGGGTAGAAGTGTTCTCTTGGGAAGAGTTTTCTTTCTCCAGGGAGAAGGCCAATTAACTAGGTTTAAGGATTCTAATTTAATGCTTAGAGAACACTGCTTCTTAGCGCCATGGAATGAGGCAAAGCATGGAATCAGTGCAGGAAGCCTGTGCAAAGTTAATCATAAGGTGTTGACAATGTTGGATATTATTATGGCCTGAGACCCAGAAAAGAATAAATTCTGAATTGGCTCAATCTCTTCTTTTTATGTATTACAAAGAAAAAGTAAGAGAACCACAAATTCACATTTTATTGTTAGCTGGGATTGAGACACAGTCCTGTGCAGAGAACTTGAACAGGTTTGACTGGAGCACTTTCCTCAAACTATGGTAGAACTCAAGAGCTTCGGCTGAGGGATAATTAAACATGTTTGTTAGCATAAGAACAAACATAAGAAGAGGAAAAGTGACTCATCTACATGACAAGCTGACCTAAACTGGCCCTACACAGTAGCCTCAGGACCATTACTGCTTCTTAGAAGAAGTCCAACTTGCCAGTTTTTATTTTATGTTCCATGCTTTTTGTGTCCCGAATAAAAATCTTCAAGGTCTCAAAGATCTTCTCCTATGTTTTCTTCTAGAAGTTTATGGTTTTAGTTTTTATGTTTTGTCCTATGATTTATTTCAAGTTAATTTTTATGGATGACCTGAGTTAAGGGTTGAAGTTCATTTTTTGTGCATACAGATATCCAGTCATTCCTGCCCAGTTGGTTGAAGACTGTCTTTTCCTTATTGAATGATCCTGGCTCCTTTGTTGAAAATTAGTTGACCACACATGTGTGAGCTCTACATCCCATTGATCCATTTGTCTATCATACACCAGTTCTGCATTGTCTTGATTGCTAAAGTTGTGTGTGTGTCTGTGTGTTTGAGATGGAGTCTTGCTCTGACGCCCAGGCTGGAGTGCAATGGTGCTATCTCAGCTTGCTGCAAACTCTGCCTCCCGGGTTCAAGCGATTCTCCTGCCTCAGCCTCCCAAGTAGTTGGGATTACAGGCACCCACAACCACGCCTGGCTAACTTTTGTATTTTTAGCAGAGATGAGGTTTCACCATGTTGGTCAGTAAGTCTTGAAGTCAGGTAAGGTAAGTTCTCCAACTTTGTGCTTCTTTTTCAAAATTGTTTTGGATATTCTGGGTCATTTACAATTTCACATACATTTTAGAGTCAGTGTGTCAACTGCTACACAAAAAAGACTACTGGGGTTTTATAGGTATAACACCAAATCTAAAATCATTTTGGAGAGAATTAATATCTTAACGCTGAGACTTGCAGTTCATAAACATACATGTATCTGTTAATTTATTCAGGTGTTCTGAATTTATCATAGCAACATTTTATAGTTTTCAGTGTATCGATCTTACATACATGTATCAAATATATTCATAAGTGTTTATTTTTAAATGTTATTAAAATCCATATTATTTCTTTGACTTTATTTTCTAATTTTTCCTTTTTTTTTTTTTGAGTCGGAGTCTCGCACTGTCGCCCAGGCTGGAGTGCAGTGGCACTATCTCAGCTTACTGCAAGCTCCGCCTCCCAGGTTCACGCCATTGTCCTGCCTCAGCCTCTCGAGTAGCTGGGACTACAGGCACCCGCCACCATGCCCGGCTAATTTTTTTGTATTTTTAGTAGATATGGGGTTTCACTGTGTTAGCCAGGATGGTCTCGATCTCCTGACCTCGTGATCTGCCCGCCTCGGCCTCCCAAAGTGCTGGGACTACAGGCGTGAGCCACTGCGCCCGACCTTTCTAATTTTTCATGGCTAGTATATAAAATTATAATTGATATTAAATATTGACCTTGTAACCTGTGACCTTGCTAAATTCACTTGTTCTAGAAACTTTATTATAGATTTCTTAGGTTTTCCTACATACATAATTGTGTTTTATTCCACATGACTTTGTAATGCAATAAAACTAACTGCCTGAAAAAAATGACCCACTTATTATCTTGAGAACTGACCAATACAATTACTATTTTTGAGAAAAAAATAGTCATCTTTGAGAGAGTCATGGAAGATATCCTTCAAAGATGGGGGCATGTTGGTTACACAGTTAACCAGTAATCAGTAGTCACCGAAGGTCTTAACAGATTTCCATGATACAGAAGAACATGAAAGAGACTGATGAATGCTTCTTGGTATTCCTGCTTAAAATAGAGATAGATAGGGTATGGGTAGGAGAGTAAAGGCCAAAGAGAAAATCAAGGTGTAAAGGATTTAAAGGAACTGTGGATTGGGCCAGTCATCTCATCAGGAGGAGGACTGACTTCTTGAAGCAAATGTATATGGGCAGTGGCAGAGTCTGCTGAGCTATTCCACTCTTAATGAATCATTTGTGTGGGCAAATGTTGTCATCAAGGACTCTTCTGAGATGATCAGGACACTGTAGAACTTATGAGCATCAGTGTGGCTTTCTTCCCTACTTCTTCAGGTCACTATTTGGGAAAATAGCTTGAAAGAAATAGGTTTATCTGGGAACTGAATGACAATCTAAGAAACATGACTGAGAATGGAATTTGGATTTGGTGATCAGGGTGTTAGATCTCCAAAATGAAGAGCTCTTAGCTTGAGGTAAATGTGTCATGGCATTTTAGAAACAACAAGACCTCCAGATTTATTTTCCATCCTTTTCCACCTTGCTGCTTGCACTGGGAGGCTGGGAAGCTAGGAGACTTTGGTCTCTTGCCTCCTGTTGGGTTTAGCCAATGGCAGGTACTGGAAAGTAATCAGAGGGTGGGAAGTAAGGTCAGGGTATTTATTTTCCCAGCTCCTTATCTGCTGGGCTGCAGCTTGGTCATGGCTGTTCCTGACAGCTGGCGCTGTCCTGTGACTCTCTCTCTCCAGATTCCGGTAACCACTGACTCTTCTTGCCTTGTAATGCCCTAGGATGGTAAAAGTCTTCTGCTATTTTTAACCATGAGTTGCTTTACCATTCCTTGTAAGTTTTCTATATCTCTGCTTACACCTTAAGATGGTCTCTCCATTAAATTTTCTTCAGTCATCTCTTTTGAGGATGTCATGTGGACTCTGACTATTAGATCAGCCCATCCACTTTAATAGCTTTGGAAATTTGAGTAAGTTATTCAATCTCCTGAGTTTTAGTTTTTCATCTATAATGTGGAGATGAAATTTTCCCTTGCAAAGATAAGAGACAATATATGTAAACAGCACATAGTTGCTACGCAGTAAGTGGTATCTATTGTCACCATTACTAGTAACTATTATCACGTAAGGACTGGAAGATCATGGTGCTCTCAGGGACTATTTGGATTAAATTGTAGAACTGGTTGTTACCTATCCAAAAGCATAAGACTGAGGAGGAAAAGTTCAGGAAACAAAAGGTGAGAATGTAGCAAGAGGTTGGAAAGACTTACTAGTATATGAGAAATAGAATATTTTCATATTTTAATATGAGAAGGGAGATACAGCTTTAGGAGTCTCAGATACTTGATGGGAGGATCCTTATACCTAAATATGGCAGTGGAGGTGTTCACCTTGTTAGAAAGGAGCAGCCTTTCAGAAAAGGAGGTAGAGTAGTGCCACATATCACAAGACACATATTTGAATGGAAATGCATTGAACTGTGAGTTAAATATTGAGAAAGACAAAATTATAAAAGAAAAGTTATTATTGACATACATGAGAGTATCCTGGAGATCATCTGGCCAGATGGAAGAAATGGACTCTTGACTCAAATTTCAGCTCTGGAAAGGAAGCAAGGTATATAGCTCCTTGAATCTTGACTGTCTTGAGCTTGCTTTTATATCATTCCTTGATACCCACTGCTGTTCTGGCTGGCTGGTCCTTCCTTCTTCCATGTTTCAGTTTCTTAGAGGAGCCCACAGCCATTTAGTGGGAGAGCTCTTTTAGTTGATCCTTCTACTTTCTTCTTTCCAGGGCACGCATGTCTGCCTGAATGGGGAGAGGGGTTAGGGAGACAGTCAGAGTGGGTTCAAATAAAATCTCCCCATCTGTCTTGGAACATTTTCCCCCAGAGAACCTTTTTCCCCAGAACCAACTCCCCCGGTGCAAAACTCCTCTTTTTTTGGAGGAAATTATCTCCAAGAGATCTGCAAATCCTTTTGCAGTTCACTTTTGATTGGGTACCCCTACCTTGCCAGTTACTCTAATATGTGACATATATCTGAGGTTTTTTTTCCCCCAGAAGGTGCTCTACTCCCATATAATTCAAAAGGGTAAAGCTAGAACCTAGAGGGTATCAGATTCCACCCAGCTTCACTTGCCCTACAGATTTTTCTCTCAGTGGGTAGATAAAGTACCCTCTCCTGTACATAATTATGATCAGAGAGGAGAAAAACTTTGAGAGACAGAGCTTGTGTTAGTCAGAAGAAAAGAAAAAAAATTAGGGAAAAGATACAGCTAGTTTGAAATTCTAAAGTGGTAGATGTCTCAGAAGGGTTGGGAAGGTCCCAGGGCTGGGCATTTTGTTTATGAAATTGCCTACAATCCTGTTGTAGAAGAAACAGAGGCAATATCTAAATAGACCGAATCCTGTGGCTTCACAGGGAGCTCTGTGTGAGCTCAGATCTTAAAAGAACATGGCCATAAATCAAATAATGAACATAAAGGATGATAAATATGTGTGCAAGTGACATTAGAAAAGCAAAAGCTCAGGATAAACTGTGACTTGTGGACAATGCTCAGGACATCATCAAAAGACACACATTTTTTGTTTGACGCAAACTGAAGCATAAAAAATGCAGAAGTAAATGCCTTGGGTAAGTGCTTTCAAAGCCATTCCAAAACTCTTGGCCTTCCATTCACTCTGTCAAGGAGAAAGACCTTATGAATGAAAAGGGTAGAACAATCAAGAGCATAGAAAAGCTCATCGAAGACCAACTGGTGAAGAGACTGTGAGTGAGCACCAAGTTTCATGCCTCCTGGACCAGGAACGTTATATCCCAGGGAACTGCTAAGACCTTGCAAATGAGATTCTCTACCACTTTTGGTTATCTTGGAAAAGGTGTGAAACTGAACATGTGTCAGAAGACTGGACTCAGCTAAGCGCAGTCATGATTTTCTAAAAGGGAAGAAGGTGGGTTGTGTAGAGAGATAGTAAATTTAAATGTTTATGGAGACCAGATAACAACTTAGAAAGAGTCAAGTAAAGCTAGTGGAGGTCCTATGAGCTTGAAAGGTTAAGCTCTCTCTGAAAAGGGCAGCTGTCACTGAGCTCCAGCTGGTTGTAGAAATGTCCAGAATTGCTAGAACTTTAACTTTTTAATGTTAAATTGTATTATTTTCAAATGTGGATAATTATTTAAATTAAAAAATATATATTGTGAGGGCTGAATTAAATAGGACTGTAGAGAGATAGGGCCAATAGGCTACCAGTTTGTGCCTTCTGCCTGTGGATTTGCCATCTTGTAGCTAAAAATCTAGGACAGTCTACTGAAAGATCACCTGGTAGGCATTTTAAAGAAACTGATCCTTAGGAACTGCATGAGTTCACTAAGGACCAACATTCCACATAGTAACCTCCTCTCCTTTGATTAGCAGAGGGCTGTAGTAGACTTGGGTGGACTGATTCCAGCAAGGTTCGCACAGGGATGGCCATGTTCTCCATGGGGACTAGATAGAGAAGCTCAAATGAAATGTCAGTAGCTCTAGGAAGAGTCTTAGCTGACTGAAAAACTGTTCCAGGTTAGTGTATTAATGACCAATAGGGAGGTCTCTATTCTTGTCTCTGGCCAATTAAAGTTTTGGAGCCCAGAAATGAACTCAAGAATTGGCTTATGGCTTGTTGTCTACAGGGTGTAATGAGAATAATAATCCCTTTCATTTTTCTGTATTTTGATTGATACAGACAGGATTTGGCACACTATAGCCCATGAGCCAAATCTGTCTGCTACCAGTTTGTGTAACTAAAGTTTGATTGGAGCACAGCCACACCCATTCTTTCACACATTGTCTCTGGCTGCTTTCAATAGACAATGGCAGAATTGAGTATTGTGACAGAGAATGTATGGTCTGTAAATTTAAAAATATTAACTGTTTGGTCCTTTACAGAAAAAGTTTACTGACTTTCTCATGTAGCTAAACATCATATTAGTCATCTTAGAGGCCTTTTTAAATTATTAATTAATATTGGACTTGTCGACATTGGTCAGTAAAAGTCTAAAGTCTATATATTACATTACTTGCTGTCAGGACACAGCTACTTGAATCCCAGATTGAAACAATTTATTTAGGAAATCAAGGAGCAGGGTGTTACATTTATTCTTGAGAACATTTAGCTTGTTGTTTTATAATTCTTTTGTCCAGTGTGCTGATAGTGTCTTTCAACTTCATATCCAATGCATTCTGCTTTTGAAGTGAGCAAACATGGGCCCTCACGTTGGGGTAGAATTCAGAGACTTGGGCCCAGAGGAAGCAGCATGACCAGAAGTAGATGTAGCCTGAGGGCAAATTCAACATGGGGCCTCAAGAGGAGAGTTAAAACTCTGGATCAAAGAAGTTGTGGCCGTGATGATGGCACAGGCCAAAGCAAGAGGGAGTGACTGAATATAGAAGCAGATTGGGAGTGAAGTCAACATGAGAGCAAGGCAAGAGGGTCCTGAGTTTTGTCTGTGAAGGGGACAAAAGTGTCTGAAACTCTTTCTTTCTGGATATTGCCTACTGGAGTATGGGATGGACTAGCTAGAGATAAAGGGCTAGGCTTGGAGGACAAGACAAAGTGTTGTTATATAAATACGCAATTTGGGGTTTCACTTAGGACCTCTCCTAGGTAGTATTTGATGAGACTACGATGTCATCAATTTCACTTTAAAAATTGTGGTAAAAAGAATATAATACAAAATTTCCCATCTTAACCATTTTTAAGTGTACAGTTCAATAGCTACATTATGTAGCATAAGGTATATTCACATTGTTGTGCAATAGAGTTTCAGAACTTTATCATCTCACGAAACAGAAACTCTGCATGCATTAACTCCTCAAGTCCCCTCAGTTTTTTTTTAAAAAAATGATCAGAGTAGCTAAACAGAAACACCAGCAGATATTTAGAAAAAATGCACTTCAAAAGCAAAATAATAAAGAAAAGTAGATGTAATTTGGTATATTTTTCATTGCTTACTAATTAGTATCCTCTTTTCCATTTGTCTTCAAAGAGAAAAAGATTAATTCCTTCTTTCATTTGCCTACTTTATCATTGAAAACTTCAGGAGCTGGGACCCAGATTTTTGGCTCTTGGTGGAAGGATCCCAGTTAGTGTCCTTCACAGCTGTGACTGGCATATGGAAGAAACCTGGAAAAAGGACATGTCTCTTCGCTGATGACATGCCCCAAAGACTTATTTCTAAAGAACCAGTTCCTACTGTTGCATTCCTTCCTACTGCTAAAGAAATTCCCTAGGTTTGTAGAATTTCTTCCCCCTAAATTCTCATTTTTGCTTATTTCTTTCATACAGCTTGACCAAAAACCAAAGAGGAAATTATTACCACATGCATTTTACATTTTCTGGAATGATCATTTTCTTTGCCGTGATGAGAAAGGGCTTTCCAGTATCTAAAAATTATCTGTGATTCTTAAGCTTATTTTTCTAAACAATTCTGTCTACATAAAACTCTCCTGTAAATTTTAGTGATTGGTTTTGGATATAGATTGCTAAATAAAGTGTCAAGAGTAATTAATCTGTACACAGCCCAACTTTTTTGATGGAAATGTATTTATGCTTTCCGAAGATACATAATGTAAAAAATATTTCAAAGGTTAGAGCAAAAATGAATGTCCTCCTGCAATTGGACTCTAAGAGATAATCGCCTAGTTCTTAAAAAAAGAAAACAATAAACATTTAAACAGAATTCAAATAGGGCTTTCCTGTATCAATTCAACAGAATGTGTCTTTAATGTATCAATCGTCTGTTACACAATGTGGCATTAATGCTGAAGTTGTAGGTTGAGGGCCAACAATCCAGGACTTGCTTGACTGCCGTCTCTACCACTTATTAATGGCATACCCTTGAGCAAGTTACTTTATTTATTTAAGCCTCAGTTTCCTCATCTTCAATGTAGAGATAAAAATAATCTTCAAGGGAGAGATAATTACTCATAGACTTGTGGAATGATATGACATAGAACATCTCAAGCACTTAGCACAGTGCCTGGGATTCAGCAGATAATAATAGTTGTAACATAATTATAACTACATTAATTTAAACATTTTTTAAATTTTGGTACAAAAACATAACATAGAATGTACTATCTTAACTAATTTTAGTTATACAGTTCAGTGCTATTAAAAAGATTCTCATTGTTGTGCAACTGTCTTAGTCCTGTGCGCTGCCATAACAAAATACTTTAGACTGCATAATTTACAAATAATAGAAATTTATTTCTCACAGTTCTGGAGGCTGGGAAGTCCAAACTGAGGCACCAGTCGATTCAGTATCTGGTGAAGGCTTGCTCTCTGCTTCACAGATGGTGCCTCTTGTTGTGCCCTCACATGGTGGAAGTGGGAAAGGCTATGTCCTCACATGGTGGAAGAGGCACTAATCCCATTTACAGGGGCTCTGTCCTCATGACTTAATCACCTCCTAAAGGGCCCAGCTCTTAATATTATCACATTGATGATTAAGTTTCAACATATGAATTTTGGCGAGACACATTCACACCATAGCAGCAACTGTAAACACCATCCATCACTGTATTAATTATCAATATGGATTCAACCTACTATCCTGAAAAAATAACATGAATTTACCTCTATCCTATGTGTGGCTTGGCTTTGTCAAAATAGATTCCTCCTAGTTTCTCAAAATTTTTTGAAATCTGGTCATATCTGTTTGTGGCTAGATTTTGAAAAACCCTTCATGTAAAGTGTTCAAGGCATCAGACTGATTCTGGTGTTATCGAATGTTCAAAACTGTAGAGGTGAGTGCTAAACAGACCTGCGCAGCTACTCTAGGGTAAAATTAATTCTCAAACGCCCTCACTGACACTTTGCAGTGTCTTCTCCAGCAGACATTTCTGACTGCTGCCGGCCTAAGCTCTGCTAATGGAGGTTTATAAAGGCCTTCACAATTCCTATGGTAACCCAGGAGAAAGGCTGTTGCCATGGGGACTAGTGAAGCCTATATAAACCTTCCATCTCCATCAGACAGATGAGAACGATGTGAGAATGAATCCTTTGCTAATTCACCTCCAGAAATGGCTAATAATTATCTCTGTTTTTGGAAAAAGATTCTTCATTTCTTTCAGGTGAAAATTCATTCACATTTTTAGCTTCAAATAAGAATTATGCAAAATCTTGCTTGATGATCTTGGTGTTAACTAAAATCATCCAGAGAATGAAATGGCCAGTGATTGAACCACTTCCAAATTTCTATAGTGTTACCAGCCACTGAATAACATTTATCACAAGCATATTAACTTTTAAAACAATAGTATGTTTCTTTGAAAAGAATGAAACGTAAATGTATGTCTATTAATGCACTTCTCCATTGTTTTACAATCGGATCTAGGAGAATCTGAGCTCTATGAAGGCAGGGTCTGTTTTATTTACTTCCATATCCTCAGCATCTAGCCCATTGTGTTGCAATATTAGGGGCTCAGTAAATGAATGAATAAGTGAAGCAATCAGTCAATATACAACAGTCAAGCAAGTCTCATGTTGACAATGGCAGAGATAGTGAGTATTGATGTTCAAGTGTGTAACAAATGAAAGCTACCTCTAAAAACAGTATCATCATTAATTCATTTATTAAAGGACAATTTATTAATGTCCACCACATTTATTTATTCAGTGATGGCACAGTTCCTGCTTTGGTTCATTCCAAAAGTATTTAAAGAAGCTAGTCTTTAGGGATATCACCCTAAACAGGGCAACATTCCCATCTTCCTGGAGCCCCTGATCTGCAGGCAGAGGCAGACATATATCCCTGTCAGAGTAAAATGGGATTGGTGTGAAAAGAAGCAGCACAACCACCAAAATCTACTTAATCCTGATGGAGCTCAGGGAGAGAGAAGACACAGTCTGAGCTGGGCCTTGATGGATGAGTAGGAGTTTCACAGGCAGACAGGGTGAGGAGAGGAGGTTGTTTGTTGGGAGGAGGAGATGAGGCATTTAAGGCAGAAGGAAGAGCATATGTTAAAGAACATGACCTGTTGAGGGAGTGGCAAGCATTCTCCAGTGGCTGAAGTACAGGTTTTTTGAGGACTGTGGCAGGAGGCTGATTTGTGACAGATTATGATGAGCCTAACATGCTATTCTTATCCAAATTCTTTTCCTGAGTGAGTGGAGCATTCACAGCTTGAGCCTGTAGTGAATTTTCAGGCATTAGGACTGGGTGAGACATGGTCCCCAGATGTGCATTGTAGAGGAAGAGGGTCATAGAGTGCATCCAGGATATGACAGCATGGCCAGGCTCAGGCCTCTAGCATGAGGAGCCCCACCATTCAAAGGGTCAGACAGTGGGGCAGGCCCAGAGCTGCCTTGGGGACAGCCACCGGGAGGGGTTGGGGAAGGTGGCCAGGAGGTCCATCTCTTTTAGAGGGTATCTGTGCCCCTGCCTGGGTGTAGGCAGGCTTGGGTTGGAACAACACCTGGAATATAGACCTTTTTCAGCAGAAGTAAGACATATTCAGATCTGTGTGTTACAGACATCCTTCTAAGGCAGGCAATGAGTAGGATGAGCAGAGCTGGGAAAGCTTGAAGGCAACTGCAGGGATTGGAGAAGAGATGACCATGTGAGAGTTAAGTACCTACAGCATGAAGCAGGCTGATGAGTTCCCGCTTTTCCCTTCAAATATTTACTTAACGCTTGTTATTTGCTTGTAGGTTGTCCTGGGTCCTGAGATTACATCTTTCTCAAGTAATGTGTAAAACAGACACCCTGACTCTTTCCGTATCCTAAGCTGACACCCTTGAAGAGTTGATGATGGTGTAAAGTTTGAAGATGGAGCAAATATATCTGTGGACTCTTTTGCACATTACTTTCCCCCCCTCTATTCAGGGTAGAAATAGGGCTGGTGGACGGAAGCTACCAAAAAATATTTTAATCAATACTAATAAAAACTTTCTAAAAATGAGGGTAACAAAAAAGATGGGAGCTGCTTCCTGGAGTGGCACTGAGTGGTTCCTGACATATTGTAGATTTCTCAATAAATTACTAACTCTTATATATCTTACAGTTGTTTCAAAAACTTTCAGAGTAAGAAAGTATCAAGGTTATGCTGGCCTCACCAAAGTGATTTAGAAAACATTATATCTTTTTCTATACTCAGGAAGAGAGTACATAACATTACCATTATTTCTTTCTTAAATGTTTAAGATAATTCACCTGCGAAGCCATCAGGGCCTAGAGTTTTTTCTGTGGGATGGATTTTGATAGCAGATTCAGCTTGTTTTATGTAAATAAGAATGTCCACATTTCAGATCTCTTTTGGTGTCTCTTTCAGAAAGTTGTGCTCTAGACATTTGTTTCATCTTAGTTTCAGATTTATTTTCACAATATTTTTCATAATATCTTCTTTTTTTTCCCTAATTTCTGTAGATTCTGTAGTGATGCCTTCTTTTTCATTCCTGATACTTCAAATTTGTCCATCTCTCTTTTTTCTTCATGAGTCTTGCAGGAGTTTATTAATTTTATCCTTTTTATTTTTCAAGGAACCAACATTTGGTTTGACTGACTCTGTTGTAGATTTGTTTTCTATTTCATTAATTTTTCTTCTTTATTATACTCTTTCTTCTACCTTTTTGGACTTTGTTTTGCTTTTGTCCCTAAGTTCTTGCAGTAGATACTTAGGTAATTGATTTTCAGCTCATATTATTTTCTAATATAAGCTTTTAAACCTATTTTTCTCTCAGCACATTTTTAACTTCTCCCATGCTTTCATAAGCTGTAGAATCACTACCATTCAATTTAAAATATGTTCTAATTTCCAGTATCATCACTTCTTTGACACAGAGGTTATTTAGAATGATATCATCTAATTTCCAAACATAAGGGAATTTTAGAGTCATCTTTTTATAACTGGTATAGCTTAATTCCACTGTGGTCAGAAAACAGACTTTAAAAGATTTCAGGCCTTTGAAATTTGTTAAGGTTTGCTTTGTGGTTTAGTATATGTCAATTTTAGTAACTGCTCCTTATGCACTGAAAAGAACATTTATTCTTTCTTTGCAGTGTTTTATAAACATCAATTAGATTAGGTTTGTTTATTGCATTGCTTTGGTGTTCTTTGTTCTTACTGATTTCCCTCCCTGCTTATTCTACTCATTATTATGAGAAGTATGTTAAAGTTTTTCACACTGATGTGCATTCAACTATTACTTTTAGTTCTATAAATTTTTACCTTATGTATTTTGAAACTATGTTATCAGATGCATACAAATTTAGAGATTGTTATATCTTCCTGGTGAATAAAACCTTATATTATTATCAAAGGTGTCTCTATTTCTGGTAATAATTTTTATCTTAAAATTTACCTTACTGATTTGTAAACCTATATCAACTTTATTTTAGTTAATGTTTATATGATAGATCTTGACTATCTTTTTACTTTCAATATTTCCGTGTCTCTAAGAAATGACTCACATGTAGCTTGACTAGGTTTTATATTTTTATTCAGTTTGACAATCTTTGTATTTTAATAGTATTTAGTATTTATAGAAATATGTATATTAGTTTGTACAGTTATTTAAAAATTCATTTTCTACTTGACTTACCTGTTCTGTTTGTTTTTCATTCTTCTTGCTTTCTGTTTTTGGATTAGTGAAGTTCTATTATTATTATTATTATTATAACATTTTTCCTCTTTATCATTTGTTAGTTACATATTTTTTACTATGTCTTTAATAGCTAGCCTAACAATTAGAACATGCAAACTTGACTTATAGTATAATGTAAATGAGTACTTTTATCACTTCTCTGACAATGCTAGGGTTTTAGAACATGTTAATTACTCTTTCCATTATTCTTTATTCTTCTTGCATTTCAATGTTTTGGAGGAATTATTTTTATTTTTGTGTGAGGAATTTCCTTTAGTATTTATTTTAGTGCAGGTTTGCTAGTGATGAATTCTCTTGTCATCTTTTTGGTCTAAAAATACTGCAGAGCAAAAAGATTTGTCTTCACCAATTAGAAAAAAAAACACTTTTTAATTGAAAGAATTTCATATCTATGGAAATTTTAAACAACAGCATGAGAAATCCTATACACTTTCACCTGGATTTCCCAGTCCTTAGCATTTTGTCACATTTGCCTCTCTCTATTTGTATATATTATTTTGAACCATTTGAGAGTAAATTGCAGACAAGATGCCTGAGTACTCCTTAATATTTCAACGTGTATTTCTAGAAACAAGGACATTGTCCTACATACCCATAGTACAACCATGGGAATCCATAGACTGCATTAGAAATCTGCCAATTGTCCTATGAATGTCTTTTACAGATCCAGGATACTACCCAGGATCATGGGTTGCATTTAGTTATTGAGTCATTTTAGTCTGAAACAGTTCTTTACTCTTTCCTTATCTTTCATGACATTGATGTTTCTGAAGAGTATAGCCCCATTACTGTATAAAAACCCTTTTCATATTTAGAGCTCCTTTCTCTGAAAATGAGAAATCAGGGCCCCACTACCCTTAATATACTTACTTATTTACTCAATCCCCCTGTATGTAAGCACTATAGCCCATATGGTACTGTTGTAGGAAATAGAAAAATGTGCCTCTTCTGAGTAGATTTGAGGCCCCACTCACCCCTCAGCTGATTGCCTCTGTGCAGTGAATAATATGCATAACCTACTGCAGCCCTGTCAGTTTTACAGTCTGTGCACTTGACAGTTATCCCATAATTCTTCTCTTAGTATAATTACAATTAATGTGTGAAACTGACAGAAATTGCACAAATATAAAGCAGTTTGGGTCCAATAAACCACTTCATTTTATTTTCAGCTGAATAAAGTCTTGTGTGTGGTTTCTGTAGAGCTAATTATATTTTTAGGAATAGAGAGCTCAAGGAAAATTTGGATGTGTTACCCTGTTCTGCTAAGCCCTGGTGCTACTGCAGCTGGCACATGGCATGCCTTTGGGCTCAGAAAGTTCAGAAAAGATAAAGTTAGGGGAAAATCTCTGAAGGATAAAAGGCATAACACCAAGGTTGGGAAGATGTAACATAAAAGGAAGGGAAAGAGAGCGCTAAATATATCAGTCTGATAATATACAGAAGGAAGCTGAGGGGGCCCTAATTATCCTATAAAGAATTTCAAGGGGATTATGCAATTTCTTAATTTCCTAATTTTCTGAAAAGCACTCAAATAAGGAGCAAGACATCTTTTATGGTTCAGCTTGAATGTCATCACCTTCATGAAATCTTCCCTAATGTCTACTACTGTATTCCATAGCCCCAGCCCCAAATCATGACAGAAATTTGGGTGGGAGGGGGCGTGAACCTGAGAAACAGTGGAGAGAAGGAAAGACGTGCCCAGAATTGAAGAAGACACAGTGGCAAGAATAATAATGGCTCATACCTATTGGGTGCTTCTATGTGCCAAGCATTGTCCTTCAAGCTTTCCAGGTGTTCACTCATTGTCCCTCAAAAGCGCACTATGAGTAAGGCACTATTACTATTACCCTTGTTGTATAGATGAGGTAGCAGACACAGAAAAGTTGAGTAACTTACCTAGGGTAACATGATTATTGAGTGGTCATATGGTTATTTCAGGGCCAGAAAATGAACACAGAAAATTTGACTTTGGGTTCCTAATCAACATGCTATGCTGCCCCTGACAGTGGGGAGGGGAACTGAAATCTCCCAATAACCACCTTTCCTTCAGAAATTCCTGATTGTCTAGGAGCAAAGTTGGCTTTCAGAGGGTAGCCAGCATGAGTGTAAGTGTTTGGGGGACCAGAGGCAGGGGACAGGAGTGTGTTTACAATGACAGAACCAGGGCTAAAGTGAGACATGTGGTGCTTTTGAAAAGGAGAATCTTTAAATATTTATTTAGTAGGTTCTGTGAGACACTAATTTTATAGTTATAAAAATGATGTGCCTCTCTTTGTAAAAAAAATAAAAGATTTATTATGTCTACTCAATGTAGCATAACCCTTTAACTTATTTGGAATCATCTAGGAATTTTTATTTTCAGAATCAGATAGCTTTGAGGGAAGTATAATAAAGGGTTTAGGATATAGATAATTAAATGGATCACTCATTCCCAATGAGCAACACTACACTATGTATTACTAGATTTTTAAAAATTATTTATGGATTCTGCAAATGGAGTAGACTATTCAATTTTAGAATATTAGCTAGCTGACCTCAGAGTTGGTGGCTCATCCAGTAGTTGTACTGTACACTTTGCACATGCAAAGAACTAAAACACTCACCTTGTATTGGTTAGTGCCGGCTAAGAATATTTTTAAAATTTCTACTCCAATGTGCTGTCTGTATGGTTTCAGCAGTTCCAATTCATATTTTGCTAGTTACTTAAAGAAGTCATGTGGAAACCTGAGTAGGCTGGCACCATATTCCTATTTATTTCAGTGATGTTTTATCGTCCCTTATAGATTGGTATCCCAAGAACCTAGAGCTACAATAGGTTACTGCAGGCTGAAAGGAAACAGAACATTAATCTCTTCTACCAGACCTGTGAAAGTGGATACTTTCCTTAGAAATGCTTGGTAGGCTGAGCAAGCTTTGTGGCTATGATGAGCAGTTACATGAACCACTGGGTGGGAGTTTGACTTGCTGACATGTTATGTTTCTTCTACACATTAGATTCTGGGTCTCTGATTTTATGTATAGGTGTTCCAGAACAAGAGGATAGTGCCTCAGCAATTCCCAAGCTTGGTTCAGTTTACTGATTGCAATGCTCATTTCATGAACCTGAACAGCTGAGATGGAGTGATAAGATAGGTAGTTCCAACTTCAGGGAGGCCAAGATCTATCTGGTAATTATGGGAGTGCCACAGGCAAAACACATAAAAGAATGACTTCTTAAACAATTATTCTGGGAACACTGTTCTTATCTTAAGGTGCCCTGTAATTCTTCTTGAGACTTATCTTCATCCAGCCATCATCTTCATCATCATCATCCCCATCATAAGCATTACCACCATCATCACTACTACCATCACCGCCACCACTATTACAATAATCAGCATTTCCTGAGACTTCTAATGTGTCAGCTTCCACTTAAACCTCTGCCTGTGATTTCTTCCTTTGATTTTGAAGTATCTGGACATTTATCTTTCTTTGGAGCCCAGATATGTATTTTGTAAGTGTTTATTTCTATATTGCCCAACATATATGTGTTGGAAGTATAGAGAATAATCAGTTAATTCCAGCTTAGCCTGCCATGTTGCTGGCAAATCTCCCACAGAAATTCATTTATCCATTTGACAAACACTTAGCTGCAAAAGTCCTTGCCTTCATGAAGCTTAGAATTCTACAGAAACCTACTCTGGACTTGCTATATGCCAGGAGACTATTCTAGGCTTTACATATATGAATGCACTGAGTCATCACAATCACCGAGGGAGGGTGGTGGCATTATTATCTCCATTTTACAAATGAGGAAACTGCAGCACACAGAGGTTAAGTCAGTTGTCCAAGGTCACACAGGTAGTGAACAGTGGAGCTAGGGTGCAAATTCAGGCAGCATGGGCATTGAGTTTATGGTTTGACCATTATTCTGTACAGCCTTTCTGTATGTGAATCTATGCCTAGAACACAGTGGTCACTCAAAAGTTTTTTATTGAATCATTAAATGATCACAGAGTACTACATCATCTGCTGCTTGTGTATCTTCCAGTAGATTCTAAGCTCCTTGATGTTCAGAGGAATATCTTCCTTGACTTTGTAGGTATGGAGCCAAGCACAGAGCCTGCACAGAGTATATGCTCAGTAAGATGTCAAACACTGGAATGAATGAATTGTTAAATGGTCCCTAGAATGACAATGCTTCTGGACTTTGGCATACATGGGAGTGAGAATCTGGGAATCTGGGAAAGTGACTCTGAGATTGCAGGTGGCCTGCCCAGCCCTCACAGGTGGTCTGCACCCCTCCTTCTGGCCACACTTCATAGGGGCTGTCAGAACATAAGTGAAAGCCACAGGGCTGTTGGTAGGTCACTAAGGTCTTAAAGTTTGGAAGCTTTTCTGGAGCTTCATTTTAGAGAAAACTCTTGACAATTAGCAAGGAGTGATTTACCCTCCAGGGAACCCCCGGAAATTGTCTTCAATACATAGAGTAACTCAGACCTGTGGAGTCTCAAGTCATCATCTCAGATTTGATGTCCCACAGAGTGTTATAAAGAGTTACATTCTGCCATCTGACATGAATGAGCAAGGTACTTGGAGGATTATTTGAATATATCCTAATTCCTGTCATAAGTGAACAGAAGCATCGATTTTTAGAAGTCTTACTGTAAGTGTTTACACTAAAACATTTCAGATACCCAAAGTTAAGAATGCGGAAGGCTATTATATATGATAAAATGGATGCTGGGTAAAGAATTGCTCTCCTAATTGGTCCCCAATATTCTCACCTGCTAAATGAGAAGGTTGAATTAGATGATCTCTAAAGGTCTTTCCACATTATTTGTGGAATGACATATCTATCATTTATTGTATGCCTACTGTATACCAGCACTATTTTGGGACTCTACTTTTATTGTTTCTAGTAGATAATTATCAAAATAGAGTGACCATGTATTAACTACATTCCTACAGAGACATGCTATTTATTCATTCATTTATTATCTATTGATAGTTTACTGTATGCTAGGCATCAGGCTGGACACTGAGTACCTTGACAGGCGTTGGGGCATAAGTTGCCCAGTGTCACAAAGCTAAAGAGTGGTAGGATAGGAATCAAAACCTCAGGTACATTAAACTAAGGTTTGAGCTCTTTCTCTAGCTCTCATACATTTCTTCTAAGATTCTTTGTCCATAAAATACATGTGAATAGCAAAGACATGGAATCAACCTAGATGCCCATCAACAGTGGATTGGATAAAGAAAATGTGGTACATATACACCATGGAATACTACACAGCCATAAAAAAGAACAAATCGTATCCTCTGCAGCAATATGAAGGCAGCTGAAGGCCATTATCCTAAGCAAATTAATGCAGGAACAGAAAGCCAAATAATGCATTTTCTTGCCTATAAGTAGGAACTAGACAATGGGTACTCATGGACAAAAAGATGGCAACAATAGACATGAGGGACTACTAAATGGGGGAGGAAGGGAGAGGGCTGAGGGTTGAAAAACTATTAGGTACTATGCTCACTACCTGGGTGATGAAAGCAATCATACCCCAAACCTCAGCATCACGCAATATTCCTATGCAACAAACCTACATATGTACCACTGAATCTAAAATAAAAGTTGAAATTATAAAAATAAAATATATGTGAATTACTGACATTTTTTCTAATTCCTACACCAGTGATTCCCCTGGCTATGTATTAGAATCATTCAAACCAATTAGATAAATATTTCTGGGGGAGGGGGAGGGAGAATCAATGTTTTATTTTCAAAATTCCCCAGGTTATTGAAATGTGCTGCCAGAGTTGAAAACCAAATCCTTATAGAGTCTAATTTTATGAAAAATGTTTTTATTTAGAATTGTGGTAAAATACACATAAAATTTACTACCATAATCATTTTCAAGTATACAGTTCAATAATATTAAGTACACTCACATTGTTGTATAACTAATCTCCAGAATTATTTTCATTTTGCAAAACTGAAATTCTGGTACCCATTAAGCAGCTCCCTCTGCCCCCTCCCTTCTTCAGCCCCTGACAACCACCTTTCTATTTTGACCTTATGAATTTGCTTATTCTAGGTACTTCATAAGCAGAATTGTATGGTATTTATCTTTTTGTGACTGGCTTACTTCATTTAGCATAATGTCCTCAGATTTGTCCATGTTGTAGCATGTGTCAGAATTTCCTTCCTTTTTGTCTTTGTGTTTGCAACTATAATAGAATACCAGAGGTGAGGTAATAATAATGAACACAAATTTATTGTATTACAGTTCTGGAGGCCAGGAAACCCAAGACTGAGAGGCCAGCATTTGGCTAGGCCTTCTTGCTGTGTCATCCCATTACAAAAGGCTGAAAGACAAGAGAGGGCAAGAGGGAGCTGAATTTGTCCTTTTATAAGAGCACCAATCCCACATATTAGAGTGGGACCTCATGGTCCAACTACCTCTTATAGGTCCCACCTCTTAATATGGTGTATGATGGTGATTAAATCTCAACGTGAGTTTTGGAGGGGACAAACATTCAAACCATAGCACTTTTTAAGGCTGAATAATATTCCATTGTATGTATATACAATGTTTTCTTTATCCATTCACCCCTCAATGGACGATCAGGTTGCTTTCAACTCTTGACTATAGCAAATGATGTTGCTATGAACATAGGTGTACAAATATCTTGTTGAGATCCTGCTTTCATTTCTTTTGGGCATATACACAGAAGTGGAATTTCTGGATCATACAGTAATTATATTTTTAGTATTTTGAGGAACTTCCATACTGTTTCCCACACTGGCTGCACAATTTTACATTCCCATCAACAGTGCACAAGGATTCCACTTTCTCCACATTTTCACCAATGCTTGTTATTGTTTCTTTCTCTCTCTTTCCCTCTCTCTCTCTGTCTCTCTCTCTGTGTGTGTGTGTGTGTGTGTGTGTGTGTGTGGTAGCTATCCTAATGAGTGTGGTTTTCTATTTTAATTTTTGAATCCATTTGTATTTATGTGTGGGGATCTATTTTATCACACAGTTTTAGTTATTTGTGAATTTTTCAATGATTTTACATCATTTTTCTACTCTCATCCGAAGAATCTCTTAAGATTCAGTACTGATCACTCTTCTTAGAACTGTGGGAGTGGGTTGATGCTGAGGAGGCATTCGACAGGATCTCTGCTTTCAAGTTGCTTACAGTCTAGCTGGGAGCTTGCTTACAGGCTTGCTAGATTTTTGTCTTGGCTCAACTCATATCTGCTGCTATCTATTGGCTCAAGTCCTTGAAAGATAGAGATGGCTGAAAATGCAGGATAGCCAAGTGGAGGGTGAGAAGATATTCCATATAGAAAGAATATATGGGGTGAATTATGGAGCTGGGAATGGGCATGCTATTTTGGAACAAATACTGGCCTGATTAGAACTCAAATTTATGTTGGAAAAAGGTGGGGGAAAATATCAGATCAGTCCAAGCAGGTATGGGATAGACTTGGAAGTCAGGTGGGGCATTGAGAATCACTGGGGCAGGTTTCAGGGTTCTCCAGCAGGGGAGTGCACATCAGGCTCTAAGAAGTGTTTGTGTTGATGGGAATAGAGGAGAGATGCCACACTGAGTGAGTGGTCGCCCAGGCAAGAGCATCATCAAAGGCACTAGACTTATCTTTAAGGGAGAAACTGTAAGTGTTGGAGACAGATTGAATATGGGAACCAGAGAAGAGGTGTCTTTCAGAACTGTGGAATATTCTGGGAGATGAAGTAGTTATTTCTTCAAAGAAGATTGTAAGCTGGTTGTGGTAGCTCCCAGCTGTAACCTCAACTGCTCAGGATGCCAAGATGGGAGGATCCCTTGAGGCCAGGAGTTCAAGGCCAGCCTAGGCAACATAAAGAGAGCTCATCTTAAAAAATAAATAAATAAATTAGCTGGGTATGGTCACGTGAGCCTGTAGTCCTAGCTACTTGGGAGTCTGTGGGAGGAAGATTGCTGGGGTCCAGGAATTCAAGGCTGCAGTGAACTGTGAGACTGCCTGGGTGGCAGTATGAGACCCCATCTCTACAACAAACAAACAAACAAATAAACAAACAAAGAAGGTTGTATTTGTGAGGAAGATGGACAGCCCCAGTAATAGTATTCATTATGTTTGAGTGCAAGGGAGAGAAAACCAAAATATCAGCAACTTAAACAAGACAGAAGTTTATATTTCTGACACTAAAACCAAGTCCAAAAATGAGCAGACTAGTATTCATATAAGTGGTCGGGTTTCCCATGGTCACGTATACCCTGGTGTGGCCACTGTCCAGGCTTGTCTTCCTGCTGACATCTGCCCTTCTCTTCCTTTCACTTTCTTCTGACTGTTAAAATCCAAGCCTTCTTCCTTTTTGATTCCCCCCAGCCAGCCAGGAGCAAATGCCACTGTCCATCTACAATGCATCTTTGTCTGTTCACTCGACTCCTGTCCCAGCCCTGGTCTCAGCTCTCTCCTTGCGATTCTTCCCCAGCCACCTTGAATGTTCTTCGTCTCTTCTCAAATCCATCTTTCTCATGGATGTCAGGTTAGCCCTTCTAAAGAGCACATCATTCCTGACCCACAGCCCTTTTATGATGTCCTTCGAGAACAGTCAGAACTCTTTAGCTTGACATTCAAGGCTCTAGGTCAATTAGCTAAGATCTTTTCTTTTTTTTTGGGAGGAGGGGACGGAGTCTTGCTCTGTCACCCAGGCTGGAGTGCAGTGGCACGATCTCGGCTCACTGCAACCTCCACCTCCCGGTTTCAAGTGATTTTCCTGCCTCAGCCTCCCAAGTAGCTGGGAATACAGGCACGTGCCACCACGCCTGGCTAATTTTTTGTGTTTTTAGTGGAGATGGGGTTTCGCCATGTTAGCCAGGATGGTCTCAATGTCCTGACTTCGTGATCCGCCCGCCTCGGCCTCCCAAAGTGCTGGGATTACAGGCGTGAGACACCGCGCCCAGCCACTTAGCTAAAATCTTAAAGACAATTGCTTAATTTCATTTTAACATTCTTATTTTAATTTCATCTAACTTTTAAAACACTTTAAGGGAGACGACTTTTAGGTAAATTTCTTTTTAGGAGAATTAATGACTAGGAGAAATTACTTAAATCGAAGTGTTTTCACATTCAAAGTCAATAACAAGCTGACTGCACTTCACCTTTTCAAATGTAGTCCAATTTTATCTTAATAGATCAAGACAATTTATCCAATTTACCAAAAATCTATGAGATTTCTGGATTATCTTTGAGTCCCCACGAGTCAGTTAGGAAGTTAGATCTGAGAAGGCTTGACTTAAAACCCAGGAGTAGGCCTGGCTGAGGTCTAGATGTGCCTAAGGGCTTGTGGTTTTGTCAGGTCTGCACTGCTCTGATGCTTTCTTGACAGCAAAGAGACCCAACTCTACACTGTGTGTCTCCAGGAGGCAGTGAAGGATGAATACTGGAAGTGGGTTATGGTCCTTAGGAGCATCTGTCTGGAACTGGCTTAGGATGGATACAGATCTGAGTATCAGCCCCCATGCTTACTCTCTTGTGATCTTGGCATTTTGCCTTATATCTCTGGCCTCGGTTGCCTCACCATAAAAAGGGGCTGATCACAAGATTTCATACCCTCCTCATGTTGTTGTTATAAAGATTAAAGATGCCAGGACACTTTTCAATTATAACTATCTTATGGGAATTTTAATACTTCCTCTATTTGTTTTCTAGGGCTGCTGTAACAAATTAGGGTGCCTTAAGATGACAGAAATGTATTTTTTCACATTTCTGTAGGCCTGATACCTAAAATCAAGGTGTCTGCGACCCACACTCCCTCCAGAGGCTCTAGGGAAGAATTCTTTTCTGTCTCTAGGGAAGAATTCTTTTTTGTCTCTTCCTAACCTTTGTGTTCTGGCAATCCTGGGCAGCCCTTGGTTTGTAGAGGCATCACTCTTTTGCTGTGGGAGGTGGATTGGAGGAAAGAATACCAGATACCCAGGTTCTAGTCCCAGTTCTGTGGGATTTTAAGCAGGTCCTTTCCCCATCTGGCTCGCAGTTTCTGCATGCATGAAACAAGGCATCAGGCCATGAGAGCTCTAAGACCACAGGCCTGTGAAGGGGCTTGGAGAAGAGGGAGGGCTAAGGACTGCTTAAGAAAAGAGGGCTTAAGAAAAATTGCCTGCCTTTTATCCTGCTTATAAAAATTGTACATTCAGTTGGGATGATGGTGATGGTTACACAACAATGGGAATGTACTTAAGCCACGAAACTGTACAATCAAAAATGGTTACAGGCCGGGTGTGGTGGCTCACGCTTATAATCCCAACACTTTGGAGGCCGAGGTGGGAGGATCATGAGGTCAGGAGTTCGAGACCACCCTGGCCAACATGGTGAAACTCCATCTCTACTAAAAATACAAAAATTAGCCGGACATGGTGGCGCATGCCTGTAATTCTAGCTACTCAGGAGTCTGAGACAGGAGAATCGCTTGAACCCGGGAGGTGGAGATTGCAGTGAGCTGAGATCACACCACTACACTCCAGCCTGGGGGACAGAGCGAGACTCCGTCTCAGAAAAAAAAAAGAAAAAAGAAAAAAGAGGTTACAGTGGTATATTTTATGTTATGTATGTTTTACCACAATAAAAAACAACAATGAAAGTTGTCATTTGTGGTACAGGGTTTCACAGTTTATAAACTTCTTTCATCTTTCTATGTGATCTTCAGAATAGCTTCACGAGATAGGCATGATAAGTGTTTGTATTCCTATTTTACAGATGGGGAAACTGAGATTCAAAGCAGAATGCCCTGCTGCAGTTTCCTCATCACAAATGTGCTGTTTTTTTCCATCATGCCACCATGGCTGCCTCTGGGCTTAGCACTGGCTCACTCTAGAACTGAAGATGTGTTCCTGGGCTCTGTGTCACCCAATGCAATGCCACACACTGTGGGTGTTCTGTGAACAGCTCTTGGTGTTGATGACTCAGATGTTGGGGAGAGGAAGGAAAAACTAACAAACAGGGGGATTTGACCAACACATATGCCAGGCACTGACCTAGGCTCTGTGAGCTCAGCAGTGAACCAAACAGATACAGCCACTGTGTTCATGAAGCTCAGAATCTCATGGGAAGGCAGGCACTTAGTCAATAAGTACGAAGCCAAAGCATGCACAAGCATGTGATGTGTTGCAGAGGAAAGGCTGCAGTGCTTTGGATGGAAAGAGTGGAGAAGCTCACTGACACTGTGGTGGTAGTCAGGGAAGGCTTCCCAGAGGAGGTGAGGCAGTCACAGAGACCTGTCAGAGGAGTGGGGGTGGGGGCAGGGCTGGCACTGAGGTTGGACCCAAAGGTTACAGGAAAGCTGGAAAGAAGATCATGACAAAGGTTCTGTTTTACTTCCTTTGTTGTGAAGTGAACTTCCTCAAAAAGCACCTTGAAAAAAAGAAAATGGTTTCAGGAGCTGTTATTTTTTGCCTCCTTGGCCTCAAAACTGAGCTGAACGGAGGAAGTTTAATGTGAAACTTTTGATGCACTGTGCGTTAATTAATTAATTAACGCACAGTGCATCGAATGTCAAAGGAATTTAATGGAGAAGCAAAGGCGCCCTTGAATGGACACCAAGCCTTTTGTTCTGCTCATGAAGCATGCCCACTTGCAGAAGCCCTCAGGGATTTAGGAACCTGCCTTCTGTCCCATTAGATGCTATTAGGGTGAATCCGAAGGATGTGAGAGTGAGTGGGCTAAGTAGCTAAGCTATTTAGAGTGAGTGAGTTAAATAGCTAAGCAGTACTCCATTGCCATTCTCTTCCCTCTCTACTCACACCCCTGCCTGGGCTTCTCACAGCTCTGAGAAGCTCTGGAGTACTCCTTTTCCTCCTCACTTGAGACTATCTCAAGAAATCATGGTGTAGAGACACTAGCAGCGTAATCTGTGGACTCTTACATTGTCTTGGTGTTTTTTTCCTTATTAATTCCATGGCCACAGTTTTCTCACCTGTAGCATGGCGGATGATACTGCCTTCTTCATAAGATTAGTCCTTTGAATTTTTTAGAATTTGCATTTCATAGATGCAACAACAGGACCCAAAAATTTAAGTGATTTGTGCAAAGTTACACAGCTAGTAACAGCAATCAGAAATGGAGCTCAGGTCTTCTGTTTCTAAATCCAGTGTTCTTTCCACCAGCAAAGCTTCCCAGCCATGGCATATCGATGGGTCCTCAGTATCCAAAATGTCAGTGTCCTGGGATGACCAGGTAAGGCCTGGGGCTGCAAGGAAAAAGGTTGAGAGGCCCAGAATATAGGACCCTGTAGTTAAAAAAAAATTTGGATGTGCTAATGTTGCTATCACATCATTGAGCATAGGTTTAATTTTTTTATTATTATTTTTGTTTCAGGTTATTTGTTGGAAGCAGAATTATCTACTAGAATTGGCCTAGGAGTGTCACAGCTAGTAGTGTGTGTTAAATGGCACAGCTGTGGTATCATTAGAGCTCTACTTCCCTTCCTGCTGGGCAGCTCAGCGTCATGTGTTCCTGATCTCAGCCCTAGACTCCTGGGGTCACTGTCTAGTCATACTGTCTTTCTTAGTGTCAGAGTCAGCTTATGACACAGTCTCAAGGAGTCACTGCCACCTCTCTTATTTCCATGTCCCCAATTTCAAATTTATTTTATTTTATTTTATTTTTATTTATTTATTTTGAGATGGAGTCTCACTCTTGTTGCCCAGGAAGGAGTGCAATGGCATGACTTCGGCTCACTGCGACCTCTGCCTCCCGGATTCAAGCAATTCTCCTGCCTCGGCCTCCCGAGTAGTTGTAGTTGGGATTACAGGCATGCATCACCACACCTGGCTAATTTTGTATTTTCAGTAGAAACGAAGTTTCACCATGTTGGTGAGACAGATCTCGAACTCCAGACCTCAGGTGATCCACCCGCCTCGGCCTCCCAAAGTGCTGGGATTACAGGCGTGAGCCACCGCGCCCGGCCCCAATTTCAAATTTATCAGAAAGAGCTGCTTAGCTTTCAGTGTCCTAGCATGGACCCTGTTACATATAATGGTCTTTAGGCCACACTCCTTTTAGTTAGAAAACATGAGTGAGTGAGTTGGTATATTCTTCTTCTTCTTCTTTTTTTTTTTTTTTTTTTTGCTTATTCACTGTTAATTCCTCTTAAAAAATCAAAGGGTAGGAGAACTTTAAGCATTTCGAAAGAGACAGCTAATCAATACACATTATTCTCCAAACATTCTAGCAAATTCAAGGAAATTATAAAGTGCCTCCTAAAGACCTCTTCAGATATCTGTGTGCCTGCCCTTCAGAGAGAAAGTTTCCTCTTGGCACATAAAGAAGTCAAATTAGGCCCAGAAGAGACTATCCTTGTTGGAGTGTGAATGTCAAAGAAACTATCTTCAGTAAAAGAGCTTTCTCTCTCAGCATGCTCTGGAGAGAAGAATAACTTTGGTTATTGGTGATGCCTGTGAAATGCGTAGTGAAAGAGTTTTGGGGATCACAAGAACTGATATTTGTATGAAGTCTGAATGTCTTGATTAGTAGGGATTTTAGCTTCTCGCATCCTGGGTAAAGAAACTTTTTACTTCAGAGTGCACTGGGATTTGGAAGCTGCAAAAGGGATAGTACCCAGCCTCTCCCAAGAGAGGTGCTAAGTGCCTTTATCAGGGCTCAGTGGTACCTGCTTGGAAACAATCTCTTTAGATGTATGGAACAAACACTTGCCCATCTCCTCTGCCAACTTCAGAGCAAGGACCTGGTATGACTTTGGGGCCAGGACATTGTCCCCAGCCCAGAGGACAGCCCTGCTTGGAGGATATTTACAAATACTTTCCTGGTGACCAGGTTTCATAGCTTAGAGATTTCAAGAGAATTGGCTTAGAACAAAAGGCAGTCCCTAGGAACTGAAACTTAAAGAGTTTCACAATCGTTAATCAAGCTAAAGTTCACCTTTTCTGTGGGTGGGTGAGTCCCATGATTCCAGCTCAGTCTAGTCCAAATGGCCAGAGTCTCCTTTTGGGATCAAACCACAGCTGAGCACCCTCCCAGTCCCTGAGAGGAGGTCACATCTCTCACAGCCTCCTGAGTGTCAGAGGCTGCAGCCACCGGTGGTCCCTACACCAGTCAGTGTGGTCCAAGCTCAATGTCCCTGCTTATCAGTTTACAGAAATTATTCAGTATCTGTTTATACTGCAAGAACTAGCTCAGAAGCCCTAGTCACCTACCTCTGGGGGATAGTGCAGGAGCAATCTACTCAGCTCAAACACATTAGGAAGTAGCACTGTTTAGAGTATAATTCAAATGTCAATTTTTCCATTTTCCATCTGTATAACTTTGGTCATATACTTAACTTCTGTGAGCTTCAGTTCTCTTACCTATAAAATAGAAATAATATTTTATTTCTTAAATAATATAAATGATATAAAGCATGCACAGTGTTTAGCCCAAACCCTGGCATGGAGTAGGCCCTCAGTAAATGATGGATTTAAACTATGCCAGCAATATAAGACATGGAAGTGGAGGCTTCTCCTTCATTGAATTAGGGCAAGGCCTCCCTTCTTGGGCTTATGCCAACTGGGAGATGGTATTAGATCGGGGAACACCTTGGTGAAATCAGATCCAAGAGAACTAGGCTTGAGTTCAGAGTCCCTCTGGCTCTGAGGAGGTTTCTGTCAGGCCCCATGGCTGTGCCAGATTCTGCCGGAAACATTGTACTTTTTAGTAATTCTTGGTAGTCCATCTCTCAGGACAACCACGTTTTGGTTGATACATGATACATCTCTAAACCCTTGATTATACCAATGATCCAACTGAAAGACAGCTTGGGTCTCCTTATGGGGTCAAGGATGCTTCACAGAGCCTCTTAAAGCATCTAAAATGTACCAGACATTAATCTAAATGCTGGGGATAAGGAGATAAATAAACTAAATGCCTGCCCTCATGGGGCGTATATTCCCATGGGGAGACAGACAATAAACAAGAATGTAATTAATATAATATATAATACAAAAATTTAATATAATATAGTGTTATGAAAAAAAAAAGCAGCCGAGGAGATCAGAAAAGGCCTTTCTGGGGAAGTAATGTTTGAGCAGAATCATGGATTAAGTAATGAAGAAAAGCATTGAATGTCTGCGCTAAAACTGTCCTGTGCAAGTGGAATGACAAGCACCAATTTCCTGAACCAAGAGAGTGGTTGTTGGATTAGAGAACAGAAGGGGCTAAAGTGAGGTCAAACAAGGAGACAGAAGAAAGTGAGGTTGAGGGGTCAGGGTAAGCCAGATCTGCAGGGGTCTCACAGATCATGATAATGTCTTTGGAGTTTATTTTGAATGAGACAGGAAAACATGGGGGGTCTTTGTGATTGATCTGATTAATGTATTTAAATGATCACTCTGGTTGCCATAGGAAGAATAGACAATCAGCTGGTGAAGGTAGAAAAAGGAAGACTGGTGAAGACCCTTTTGCAGTGTTCCAGACAGGGGATGTTTGTGGGTTGGGGGAAGGTGGTATTGGTGGAGATAAGAACTGGCTGTGTTCAGGATATATTTTGAAAATGAAAGTGATAGTCCTTGTGGGATAGATTGGATATAGATATCGGGGGAATGGAACGTAAGAGTCAACGATGAGTGCCACTTTTTGATCTGAGAACCTTGATGAATGGAGTTGCTATTTATTGGGATGAGAAGAACTGCTGAAGGAATAGGCTGGAGGGGTTAGAAATGCTGAGTCCATCCCCAGATGGCTCTCAGTCATCTCAGTGCAGTCACTGGGGTCCTTTTGAGGGTCAGAGTGCTGGGAAGACGAATCAGAGGCCTTGATTTCCCAAAGGATGCAGCAAGAACTCCCTGTCTGTGATCACAGAACTGAAGCTTTAAAGAGCACCCACAGGAGGCGCTCCCCGGATGCTCATTCTTAGAAAAGAGGCAGGGTGACTGTGACCAAGGCTGGAGGCAGCTAAAAGTTAGACTAGTGATGGATAATGTTTGAGCATAGAGAGCTGCTCAACACTGCATTTGGACTTGAATTTTTTTGTGTAAATAGGAAAGAAAAACCTTGGTTTGTATAATGTTTTACAATTTAGTGTGTGCTTTCAAATTCATCGTCATATTTATCCTATGAGGTAGGAACTGCTGTCTTCAGTTTGGAGATGAGGAAATGGAAGTTCAGAGACATTCCATGACTTGCCTAAGATCACAGAACTAGCAGGTGAGGGAATCCTCAAATCTAGAAGTTTTGTAACCCCTAAAATATTTCCATTTTGTTGTTTTGTTTTCATCTTATCCTGATTATTATGGAATAGTCACATTGATTCTGCCAATAAAAAAATAAAATCTATAGTATCTAAGATGGCTGTAAAATATCCTCGTTGTCTCCTTTTGGCTGCACATGACCTGTGTAGCCTCCCAGGCATTCCTTTGCAATCCAAGGCTTTTCTGGCAGCTTTTTATGAGCATCACCCCAATTCCTGTCCCCCTTAACAAATTCTTTTTTTTTTATCAATGGTTTATTTGCATTGAAAGAGGTTTTCATGCCAAGCAATATTTGGGGAACATTTCACAATTCCTGTCGCTAAAGTTCTGAGAGAAGATATTCCAAAAAAGACCCTTTCCTTATTGGATTATTTCAAAACAATGGGAAGAGAATAGTTTTTCAATGAGCATTTCAGTAATTCCTGCAAAGTATCATTTAGTTTTGATTGAGACTACAGCTGTGTCTACTTGGTGCCAAACACTTGAATGAAAAATGAAAATGACAAGCAATGAGATGTTAGGACTGGATAAAAGGCCAGTTCTGATGTCCCTTAGACACTGTGAGCCATTGCCCTTGGGTCACCCAAATACCCTCAGGCTCTCCTCTCAATCATAGCAGCCTATGAAGGAATGGACAGAGCCCTGGGCCTGAAGAATGACATTGGAGTGTCACTCTTAACTCTGGTACTTCCTGGTGTGTGATCTTGTCCAGCCTCAGCTTCGTCATCTGTGAAATGAACATGAGAATGCTCACACAACTTCCTTTAAAAAGTTTATAGGAACCAATTGAGCAAATTTTGAACTAGACCGGAGTCATGTTGTACTTATCTTTGCATCTGCAGATCCAAATACAGGCATGTAATAGGGACTGAATACGATTTTGTTGAATATTTTATAAATGGGTAGTACAGGCAATGCTCTAGCACCTATTATTTATATAACTCTATTCATGTTTCCAAGTCCCTCTGGTACGTAAGCAAAGTTGCCATTTCTAGAATATGAGGACACATAATCAGAAAAATAATATTTACTAAAAGCATAAAATGTGCTATGCTAATGTAAATAATGTTTTTTCAGTTAGTCCAAGCAGTGAATAATCCCAGCTTTTGTTCTACTTGGAGCACCTGTTTGTAATCCATGTCATAAATATTTTCATGACTATTGCTTAGTAGTCAATGAGTTCCTTTGTTGGCATAGAATTTAAGATATTTCCCTAATAAGGACACCCAGTGTTAAAGCAATGAATTTCTATACCTATGCAGTTCAGAGAGTTACCTAGGAGATGAAAAGCTAATCTGTCTGGAATTTCTGCCCTTGAGACCAAAGATACTATAAATTTGCTCTGGAAGAAAATAATCATGGTAAGCATCTTAATTTCTTCCATCTCGTTTCCAAGCAGATGTCGCCGTGTTTTAGCCTGGAATTCATCATCTCTCTGATACATCAACATTGACATATTACATCTTCATCTCTTATTATAGAAAATGGAAATGAAACCAGAATGTGAGCATGTTGAATGAATTGGACTCCCCAGAGATTTGGGGGAGAAGAAAACCTCCCACTCGCCTTTGACTTTTGGATTTCTTGTTTCCTTCATGTTTAGATTGCACTTTGAGAGGTCCATCTGGAAGTTCACTTTGTATATTTTGCAAATGCAAACAGAGCTTATTATCAAAAGACAAAGCTCCAGAGGAAGCAAAACATTTGGGGAGGTGGGAGAGAATCACGTAAAAAATCTAGTGACAGTATGAAGGTTAAACTCCAGAGATTAAACTCCATTTATTTCTGGGCTTGACTTTGCCAGTCTGCTAGTTTGGGTGAATGCTTAGATATGTTTAGCCGTTTGCTTTCTATCCATTAAGCTCTCCGTTTAGAGGATGAATTTGGATAGGTGTCAATACCTGCAAATGTCATCAATCCTGTAACACCTTTTTGGCGCTGAGTTATCATAGTAGCACTGCACAGCCTGCCTGTGACTCCAGTCCTCCCACAGCGGGCATCACTACACTTCTTTCCTTTTTCTGGCCTCAGGAAAACATTCTTAGGATTTCAGGATCCTATTATATGTTGAGTGAATTGCGTTCTTCTTGAATTCCTTATGAAGTCACTCTGGTCCTTTGAGATTAGAAGTTTAAACTTGGAAGGCCATACCTCATCGAGTTCTCTTCACTGTGACTCCGCAGCCATTTCTGTCACAGCCAGACTTAATCCCCTTCAGACATATCAAGTCAACCATCAGTCAAGGTGGTCTTTATTTCCTTCCACATGCTGCAGAGATTAAGGCTGCCTGATTTTCTCATATATTCCCTGGCACGCTGACCACAGACTCTGCTGCAGTCCAAGATGGATGGAAATAATGTTTACAACTTGGCCCAAACTTGTCGGCCATTTGTGGGAAAAATCCCTTTTATCTTAGAGTCACAAGGGCTAATGCCATCTTGGCCATAATAGGCTAATTGGAATGAACATTAACACCCCAGGACCTCTTTCTTAATTTATGGACCAGGGAATAGAAAAAGCCGTTTGCTTTAGTAGTTCTGGGGAAAACTGTCAGTGTTAGGCATTGAGGGGTAGGGGGCTGGGGGCATGAGAATGGCATTGAATTTAGAGTTGGAACCCAAGTTCAAATCCTAGCTACAGTATCCTCTAGATCGCTAGATGTGTGACTTTGGACCAGTAGCTTAATCTTCCCGGGCCCGTTTTCTTACCTGGAAGATGAGAATGCTGTTATCTGTTCTACACAATCACTAGATGCTTGGGATAAGGGATAAGGGGTGTCTTGAAAACAATGAAGTGCTAATGGAGTTAAGAGCTACTGCCATTGTCACCCACATCACATTATGAGTGGTCTGCTGACCATTTATTGCAAGTTTTATGACAAATTCTATATATCAAGAAGTTTCTTATATGCCTCTCTGATCCTTGGTTCTCTTACTATAAAATGATATGAAAATGATTCTACATAGCTCACACATTCAATGAGATAATGAGGGTGAGTAGGCCTGGACTGCACAAGGTGGGTCTTATCTCTCTGTCTCTTGGCACTAGCCTGGGACCTGGTAGAGTAGATGTTCAATATGCATTTTTTTGATCTGAGTTTCCTACAAATACTTTCCTGAAAGCTTTCTGGCAATAGGGTCTTGGAATGCCACTGCTGAAGACACTGGAAAACTTGGCAAACATGGAAGCAAGGAAAACTGCTGCCTATCTCCTTGCCCCCAGGTGTGGTATTGTCCCCTTTTCTCCCAGTCCTGTCCTGGCTTGGAGATTCTGCGATTCTACTTCAAGAGGAAAGTTCAAGATAGCACAGTCTGAGAAGAGAGACCAGAGTAGGGAAGGGACTGGAAACAAAGTCAAACGAAATGAGGCATTTTCATGAGCACTGGGATACTGAATCTGGAGAACAGAACCCATGGAGTTCCACAACAGTCTTCAAAGATCTGAAGGAATTGGTGTTTTCCAAAATTTCCAATGGCAACCAAAAGTAAGAAAGATATTTTTATAACACAATCTAGCGCACATTTACATAAATAACTGAAATTATAATACGAGTTACTATTACAAGCTCTAAATGCTGATGTTTTCTACTCTGAATATTCAATTCAATTAGATTTGATTCAATTCTTTCCTCTTCTATCCTATCTTGGCCTCTTCTAATTTCATTCAATATTATGCTAGATGTAATTCCAAAATTGATTTAATGGCCCATTAATGAAAAATGTTGATGTAGAAGACATGCATAGTCCCAAAAGATGAAATTAGGACTTTGGGTTGAAAATTGGAGTAAATTTCAGCTCAAAAGAAAGAAAAAATTACTACCAATTAGACACACCATAATATAGAATGACCCTCTATGTTAGTAAGACCCTCATTCTTGGATATTTTCAAGATTAGACCTAATTTATATTTTGTATCTATGGATTAAGGGCCCACCAATTTCCAAGACTTCAAGAGTCTACAATTCATAATGAGAAAGTCTGGAATATAAAGGGAAGATTTTTGTCCAAAAAGAAAAAAAAAAACTAAAAAGAAAGAGGCAAGGATGAAAGGTGGTAAAATCCGGGAGATTGTCTCTCCCTAACTTCTGTCCAGTTAAAGATAAAACACTGCTACATTTTTATTCCCCACTGAATGATCTCTCTTTTCTACTTTCTTCAGGAAAAAAAAATTGTTGCTGTTGACAGGAGCACATTTTAAAGCTGTTGCTCCTAAGCTGTTGGGACACCCCTTTTTCAAATGTTATAGTGACTTTAAACCATCATAGGTTAAGTAGTTGCCTTTTGAATATTTTACAGAGTTTGTGTTTCACTGTGCCCTGGGCTTAGCACAATGTCAGGTATAGAGTCATCACAAATGAATGAATGCACGCATGCATGAAGACACCATTAATTTTATTAGAAAGGAGTATCTTTGAGTGACTGGTCTAGGTCTTGATGGGAAAATAGTGTTTTTAGGAATGAGAAAGATGAGTAATGATTGTTGAAATGTTGACCAGCAGATGATATCTAAGCATTCTGGACATTTTTAGAGACAAAAACTCTGAGAATTTCATGAAAATTAAGGATTCCATCTTTAGAAAAACAAACATATGCATATTTATACAAAATTATGCATGCAATTTCAGGAGTGCAGTTATCCACTCTCTAGCCTAAGGTTAAGCTTAGCAACTGGATCTGACTCAAACAGAAATTTCTTGTATTTACTTAAGCAAGTAAAATTTTGGAGACAGTGGAAAGAAGCTAACAGGAATGCATCCTTACTATGCACCAGGTACAGTGTTCAGTATTTTATTTACATTAGTTCATAATAACCATGTGAAGTAGGTATAGTTATTGTCTCCTATATATCCACACATATATTTTATATATACTATATATAATATACATATACATAAAAATAGTATGCATATACACACACAAACACATACGCAAACAATGTCACATTCATGCCACCCAATTCTCTTCCCTGTTCTTTTCATCCTTCAATCAATAGCTTTTATCCCTTCTTCCCCTTCAGGCTCAGAATTTAAAACATAAAAATATTGTTTAGCACTCATCTTTGCAGAAGCCCACTCTCACCTGGTGACTTCTCTAAACCAAAGGTGTAGTTCACTCTCTGGGAAGAGAGCATGGGCTTCTGTTTCTTTAAAGTTGGGCTGCATCTTTGGGTCTGTGGAGTGTTGTGTGCTAATGCTACTGGTCTTGGGGACTGAGGTCTCCTAGACAGGGTTTCAAGTCATCGACAGAGACTAGTTAAAGCAGGAGTATGGGGGAATTTGCCCAGGGATTCCTTGGAGAGTGAGAAGCAATGACTGAGACTGGTGTGCTGAGCAACCCCATTGTTTATCAAGTGGGAAAGGAAGAGGGTCAGCAGTAGGCCACTGAGAGGGAGTAACCAGAGTGAAGGCAGGAGGAGGACCCAAAGGGAATGCTTTCAAAAGCCAAGGGAGGAGAATTTCAAGAAGCAGGACGTGGTCAGCGGTATCATGCCACCAAGGAGAAAGTAAGATGAAGTTGGAAATAATCCATGGAGTCGGCTATCAGGACTTCATTGATGTTAACAAGACCAATCTCTGTGAAGTAATGAGGGGGGAAAGCATTGTTGTGGGGTATGGAATAAACAACAGATGAAGAAGCTGAGAACTGAAATATGCACCACTGTTTCTCAAATGCTGGACATGGACTTAGCTATTTCAGTCATCTGCAGGGCTTTAAAAGTGAATAAATCTAGAGTGGGTCCCAAGGATCTGCATTTCTAGAAAGCCAGGTGTGGGAACTATAAGAATGTAAAATATATGACAGCAAAGATCTGTCTGTCTCATTCACTACTGAATCCCCAGAAGATGGAGTAATTTCTGCCCATAGCAGTTTCTCAGTAACTGTGTAGGTTAGCAGTTCCCTGAACTGAACAATTAGTATCAACTACTTTTTATGGACTAGTATTCATAGTAAGAGCATTAACTGAAAATCAGTGAGGATGCAGCAGACTGATGGCCCAAGTACTGTCTCTCAAAAGTTAAGAGGCTAAATGATAAATGAGCTTTTTTCCCCCTTTTTTGAGACAGGGTCTCACTCTGTCACCCAGGCTGGAGTGCAGTGGCACAATCATGGCTCACTGCAGACTCAACCTCTCCGGCCAAGTGATCCTCCCACCTTAGCCTCCCAATTAGCTAGGACTACTGGTGCACATCACCACTTTTGGCTAATTTTTATATTTTTTGGTAGGGATGGGGTTTTGCCATGTTGCCCAGGCCAGTCTCGAACTCCTGAGCTCAAACAATCTGCCCACCTTGGCTTCCCAAATTGCTGGGATTACAGGTGTGAGGCACCACACCAGGTAATAAATGATACAATTCCTTCCAGTTTATTGCTTCGGTTCTGAGAATTATAACAAAAAGGCTCTGAATGATCTGGGGCAGCTATTGGCAAATCAGAACTGACTCATTAGAATTGTTCAGTTTAACAGAAAGGGCTGTTGCTTGTCTAATAAAGACACCTACTGGAAGGCAGTATGTTGTTATAGAAAGGACATTGGGCATCTACTAGAGTTAGTGGTATCTTACATCCAGCTTGTGCATTGATTAAGTCTTTAGGTTGTGGACCCCTGGGGGCCTATGCAGTTAATTCTAGAGAGGTGAGGAGAAGTCATAAACCCATTTCTCACCAGTTGCTGTCTGAAGACTGAATAAATAACATACCTCCAACTATAAAAGTAACATTTTCCCTAAGAACACACATGCTATTGCAATTAATGAAGTACAGCATCATCAAAAAGTGTTCATGAATACCTGAGAGCTTCTTTTTTTTTTTTTAATTTAAGTTTTAGGGTACATGTGCACATTGTGCAGGTTAGATACATATGTATACATGTGCCATGCTGGTGCACTGCACCCACTAACTCATCATCTAGCATTAGGTATATCTCCCAATGCTATCCCTCCCCCCTCCCCCCACCCCACAACAGTCCCCAGAGTGTGATATTCCCCTTCCTGTGTCCATGTGATCTCATTGTTCAATTCCCACCTATGAGTGAGAATATGTGGTGTTTGGTTTTTTGTTCTTGCGATAGTTTACTGAGAATGATGATTTCCAATTTCATCCATGTCCCTACAAAGGACATGAACTCATCATTTTTTATGGCTGCATAGTATTCCATGGTGTATATGTGCCACATTTTCTTAATCCAGTCTATCATTGTTGGACATTTGGGTTGGTTCCAAGTCTTTGCTATTGTGAATAATGCCGCAATAAACATACGTGTGCATGTGTCTTTATAGCAGCATGATTTATAGTCATTTGGGTATATACCCAGTAATGGGATGGCTGGGTCAAATGGTATTTCCAGTTCTAGATCCCTGAGGAATCGCCACACTGACTTCCACAATGGTTGAACTAGTTTACAGTCCCACCAACAGTGTCAAAGTGTTCCTATTTCTCCACATCCTCTCCAGCACCTGTTGTTTCCTGACTTTTTAATGATTGCCATTCTAACTGGTGTGAGATGGTATCTCATAGTGGTTTTGATTTGCATTTCTCTGATGGCCAGTGATGATGAGCATTTTTTCATGTGTGTTTTGGCTGCATAAATGTCTTCTTTTGAGAAGTGTCTGTTCATGTCCTTCGCCCACTTTTTGATGGGGTTGTTTGTTTTTTTCTTGTAAATGTGTTTGAGTTCATTGTAGATTCTGGATATTAGCCCTTTGTCAGATGAGTAGGTTGCGAAAATTTTCTCCCATTTTGTAGGTTGCCTGTTCACTCTCATGGTAGTTTCTTTTGCTGTGCAGAAGCTCTTTAGTTTAATTAGATCCCATTTGTCAATTTTGCCTTTTGTTGCCATTGCTTTTGGTGTTTTGGTCATGAAGTCCTTGACCATGCCTATGTCCTGAATGGTAATGCCTAGGTTTTCTTCTAGGGTTTTTATGGTTTTAGGTCTAATGTTTAAATCTTTAATCCATCTTGAATTGATTTTTGTATAAGGAGTAAGGAAGGGATCCAGTTTCAGCTTTCTACATATGGCTATCCAGTTTCCCCAGCACCATTTATTAAATAGGGAATCCTTTCCCCATTGCTTGTTTTTCTCAGGTTTGTCAAAGATCAGACAGTTGTGGGTATGCGGCATTATTTCTGAGGGCTCTGTTCTGTTCCATTGATCTATATCTCTGTTTTGGTACCAGTACCATGCTGTTTTGGTTACTGTAGCCTTGTAGTAACGTTTGAAGTCAGGTAGTGTGATGCCTCCAGCTTTGTTCTTTTGGCTTAGGATTGACTTGGCAATGCGGGCTCTTTTTTGGTTCCATATGAACTTTAAAGTAGTTTTTTCCAATTCTGTGAAGAAAGGCATTGGTAGCTTGATGGGGATGGCATTGAATCTGTAAATTACCTTGGGCAGTATGGCCATTTTCACGATATTGATTCTTCCTGCCCATGAGCATGGAATGTTCTTCCATTTGTTTGTATCCTCTTTTATTTCCTTGAGGAGTGGTTTGTAGTTCTCCTTGAAGAGGTCCTTCACATCCCTTGTAAGTTGGATTCGTAGGTATTTTATTCTCTTTGAAGCAATTGTGAATGGGAGTTCACTCATGATTTGGCTCTCTGTTTGTTGTTGGTGTATAAGAATGCTTGTGATTTTTGTACATTGATTTTGTATCCTGAGACTTTGCTGAAGTTGCTTATCATCTTAAGGAGATTTTGGGCTGAGACAATGGGGTTTTCTAGATATACAATCATGTCCTCTGCAAACAGGGACAATTTGACTTCCTCTTTTCCTAATTGAATACCCTTTATTTCCTTCTCCTGCCTAATTGCCCTGGCCAGAACTTCCAACACTATGTTGAATAGGAGTGGTGAGAGAGGGCATCCCTGTCTTGTGCCAGTTTTCAAAGGGAATGCTTCCAGTTTTTGCCCATTCAGTATGATATTGGCTGTGGGCTTGTCATAGATAGCTCTTATTATTTTGTAATACGTCCCATCAATACCTAATTTATTGAGAGTTTTTAGCATGAAGGGTTGTTGAATTTTGTCAAAGGCTTTTTCTGCATCTATTGAGATAATCATGTGGTTTTTGTCTTTGGCTCTGTTTATATGCTGGATTACATTTATTGATTTGCGTATATTGAACCAGCCTTGCATCCCAGGGATGAAGCCCACTTGATCATGGTGGATAAGCTTTTTGATGTGCTGCTGGATTCGGTTTGCCAGTATTTTATTGAGGATTTTTGCATCAATGTTCATCAAGGATATTGGTCTAAAATTCTCTTTTTTTGTTGTGTCTCTGCCCGGCTTTGGTATCAGAATGATGCTGGCCTCATAAAATGAGTTAGGGAGGATTCCCTCTTTTTCTATTGATTGGAATAGTTTCAGAAGGAATGGTACCAGTTCTTCCTTGTACCTCTGGTAGAATTCGGCTGTGAATCCATCTGGTCCTGGACTCTTTTTGGTTGGTAAACTATTGATTATTGCCACAATTTCAGCTCCTGTTATTGGTCAATTCAGAGATTCAACTTCTTCCTGGTTTAGTCTTGGGAGAGTGTATGTGTCGAGGAATTTATCCATTTCTTCTAGATTTTCTAGTTTATTTGCATAGAGGTGTTTGTAGTATTCTCTGATGGTAGTTTGTATTTCTGTGGGATCGGTGGTGATATCCCCTTTATCATTTTTTATTGTGTCTATTTGATTCTTCTCTCTTTTTTTCTTTATTAGTCTTGCTAGTGGTCTATCAATTTTGTTGATCCTTTCAGAAAACCAGCTCCTGGATTCATTGATTTTTTGAAGGGTTTTTTGTGTCTTTATTTCCTTCAGTTCTGCTCTGATTTTAGTTATTTCTTGCCTTCTGCTAGCTTTTGAATGTGTTTGCTCTTGCTTTTCTAGTTCTTTTAATTGTGATGTTAGGGTGTCAATTTTGGATCTTTCCTGCTTTCTCTTGTGGGCATTTAGTGCTATAAATTTCCCTCTACACACTGCCTTGAATGCATCCCAGAGATTCTGGTATGTTGTGTCTTTGTTCTCGTTGGTTTCAAAGAACATCTTTATTTCTGCCTTCATTTCGTTATGTACCCAGTAGTCATTCAGGAGCAGGTTGTTCAGTTTCCATGTAGTTGAGCGGCTTTGAGTGAGATTGTTAATCCTGAGTTCTAGTTTGATTGCACTGTGGTCTGAGAGATAGTTTGTTATAATTTCTGTTCTTTTACATTTGCTGAGAAGAGCTTTACTTCCAACTATGTGGTCAATTTTGGAATAGGTGTGGTGTGGTGCTGAAAAAAATGTATATTCTGTTGATTTGGGGTGGAGAGTTCTGTAGATGTCTATTAGGTCCGCTTGGTGCAGAGCTGAGTTCAATTCCTGGGTATCCTTGTTGACTTTCTGTCTCGTTGATCTGTCTAATGTTGACAGTGGGGTGTTAAAGTCTCCCATTATTAATGTGTGGGAGTCTAAGTCTCTTTGTAGGTCACTCAGGACTTGCTTCATGAATCTGGGTGCTCCTGTATTGGGTGCATATATATTTAGGATAGTTAGCTCTTCTTGTTGAATTGATCCCTTTACCATTATTTAATGGCCTTCTTTGTCTCTTTTGATCTTTGTTGGTTTAAAGTCTGTTTTATCAGAGACTAGGATTGCAACCCCTGCCTTTTTTTGTTTTCCATTTGCTTGGTAGATCTTCCTCCATCCTTTTATTTTGAGCCTATGTGTGTCTCTGCACATGAGATGGGTTTCCTGAATACAGCACACTGATGGGTCTTGACTCTTTATCCAATTTGCCAGTCTGTGTCTTTTAATTGGAGCATTTAGTCCATTTACATTTAAAGTTAATATTGTTATGTGTGAATTTGATCCTGTCATTATGAAGTTAGCTGGTGATTTTGCTTGTTAGTTGATGCAGTTTCTTCCTGGTCTCGATGATCTTTACATTTTGGCATGATTTTGCAGCAGCTGGTACCGGTTGTTCCTTTCCATGTTTAGCGCTTCCTTCAGGAGCTCTTGTAGGGCAGGCCTGGTGATGACAAAATCTCTCAGCATTTGCTTGTCTGTAAAGTATTTTATTTCTCCTTCACTTATGAACCTTAGTTTGGCTGGATATGAAATTCTGGGTTGAAAATTCTTTTCTTTAAGAATGTTGAATATTGGCCCCCACTCTCTTCTGGCTTGTAGGGTTTCTGCCGAGAGATCCGCTGTTAGTCTGATGGGCTTCCCTTTGAGGGTAACCCGACCTTTCTCTCTGGCTGCCCTTAACATTTTTTCCTTCATTTCCACTTTGGTGAATCTGACAATTATGTGTCTTGGAGTTGCTCTTCTCGAGGAGTATCTTTGTGGCATTCTCTGTATTTCCTGAATCTGAACGTTGGCCTGCCTTGCTAGATTGGGGAAGTTCTCCTGGATAATATCCTGCAGAGTGTTTTCCAACTTGGTTCCATTCTCCCCATCACTTTCAGGTACACCAATCAGACGTAGATTTGGTCTTTTCACATAGTCCCATATTTCTTGGAGGCTTTGCTCATTTCTTTTTATTCTTTTTTCTCTAAACTTCCCTTCTCGCTTCATTTCATTCATTTCATCTTCCATTGCTGATACCCTTTCTTCCAGTTGATCGCATCGGCTCCTGAGGCTTCTGCATTCTTCACGTAGTTCTCGAGCCTTGGTTTTCAGCTCCATCAGCTCCTTTAAGCACTTCTATGTATTGGTTATTCTAGTTATACATTCTTCTAAATTTTTTTCAAAGTTTTCAACTTCTTTGCCTTTGGTTTGAATGTCCTCCCGTAGCTCAGAGTAATTTGATCTTCTGAAGCCTTCTTCTTTCAGCTGTCAAAGTCATTCTCCATCCAGCTTTGTTCCGTTGCTGGTGAGGAACTGCATTCCTTTGGAGGAGGAGAGATGCTCTGCGTTTTAGAGTTTCCAGTTTTTCTGTTATGTTTTTCCCCCATCTTTGTGGTTTTATCTACTTTTGATCTTTGATGATGGTGATGTACAGATGGGTTTTCGGTGTGGATGTCCTTTCTGTTTGTTAGTTTTCCTTCGAACAGACAGGACCCTCAGCTGCAGGTCTGTTGGAATACCCTGCCGTGTGAGGTGTCAGTGTGCCCCTGCTGGGGGGTGCCTCCCAGTTAGGCTGCTCGGGGGTCAGGGGTCAGGGACCCACTTGAGGAGGCAGTCTGCAGGTTCTCAGATCTCCAGCTGCGTGCTGGGAGAACCACTGCTCTCTTCAAAGCTGTCAGACAGGGACATTTAAGTCTGCAGAGGTTACTGCTGTCTTTTTGTTTGTCTGTGCCCTGCCCCCAGAGGTGGAGCCTACAGTGGCAGGCAGGCCTCCTTGAGCTGTGGTGGGCTCCACCCAGTTCGAGCTTCCAGCTGCTTTGTTTACCTAAGCAAGCCTGGGCAATGGCGGGCGCCCCTCCCCCAGCCTCGCTGCCGCCTTGCAGTTTGATCTCAGACTGCTGTGCTAGCCATCAGCGAGATTCCGTGGGCGTAGGACCCTCCGAGCCAGGTGTGGGATATAGTCTCGTGGTGCGCCATTTTTTAAGCCGGTCTGAAAAGGGCAATATTCGGGTGGGAGTGACCCGATTTTCCAGGTGCGTCCGTCACCCCTTTCTTTGACTCGGAAAGGGAACTCCCTGACCCCTTGCGCTTCCCAGGTGAGGCAATGCCTCGCCCTGCTTCGGCTCGCGCACGGTGCGCGCACCAACTGGCCTGCGCCCACTGTCTGGCACTCCCTAGTGAGATGAACCCGGTACCTCAGATGGAAATGCAGAAATCACCCGTCTTCTGCGTCGCTCACGCTGGGAGCTGTAGACCAGAGCTGTTCCTATTCGGCCATCTTGGCTCCTCCTCTACCTGAGAGCTTCTAGAGATGAAAAATTAGCTTGAATCATATGAAATTGCCATTTTTGTGGGTCACAAACAGGTAAACCTGGGCAATTTCATATAGTTTAGTCTACTTTTTTTTTCAGTCAAACAGATGATATAAAAATTATGATCTTGGCAGGGTGTGGTGGCTCATGCCTATAATCCCAGCACTTTGGGAGGCCGAGGTGGGTGGATCACCTGAGGTCAGGAGTTCAATACCAGCCTGGTCAACGTGGTGAAACCCCATCTCTACTAAAATACAAAAATTAGCCAGGTGTGGTGGCAGGCGTCAGTAATCACAGCCACTCGGGAGGCTGAGGAAGGAGAATCGCTTGAACCTGGGAGGCAGAGGTTGCAGTGAGCCGAGATCATGCCACTGCACTCCAGCCTGCATGACAGGAGCGAGACTCCATTAAAAAAAAAAATTATGATCTTGATCTTGTGGGAGTCAGCAAAAATTTTAGAATTATAAAGGGGTCATATGGTAGCCAGCCTCCAGAATGGCCCCTGTGATCCTCATTTCCTGATATTCATGTCATTGTGTAATGCTCTCCCTTTCCATGTGGGCTGGACTTAGTGACATGTTTCTGATGAATAGAATACTGCAGAAGTGATGGTATATCACCCTTAATATTAGGTTATAAAAAGACTGTGCCTTCCATCTTGGGTGGTCTCTCTCTCTCTCTTTCTCTTTCTTTCTCTCTCTGTATCTCTTTCTTTGATCCCTTAATCTAAAGAAAGCCAGCTGGCACATCAAAAAGACACTCAGACAACCTATGGATAGGATTGGGGGTTTTGCTCCAAAGGCCAACAGCCAGTGAAGAACTGAGGCCTGCTGCCAACCACAAGAGAGAGTCTAGAAGAGGATTCCAGCCCCAGGCAAGTCTTGAGATGACTGCATCCCTGATGGCCTGACCGCAATTTTGTCAGTGACTTTGAGTCAGAATCTCACAGGTAAGCTGTTTCCATGTCCCTGACTCTGAACCTATATGAGAGTATAAATATTTGCTGTTATAAGCTGCTAAGTTTTGGGGTGGTTTATTCTCCATAAATAGATAACGAATATACTTCCCTATTTTCAAAATGTTGGAAACCAGTGATCAAGCAGTTTTTAGCTCAAACATACTTTTACATATATCCTTCAGGACTTACAAAACAAATTTTAAATGTTTTATTACTGAGGAAATTAAACAGTATTCATTGATGGAGAAAACACAATATTTGGAGCCAGAAGGTAGGTGTAAGTTTTCCCTTATTAGCTGTGCAAACCTGAAAATCACTTTGCTTCTTTGAGCTTCTCTTTCTTCTTAGAGAAAATGCAGATTCCTACAATGCCTGCCCTGTCTTAATGTTTATGGTAAGTATTAGATTGTGAATACAGTTGATGAACCCTCAAGTCCTATCAAAATGCTAATTTTTATTGATGATAGAGTTAGTCATCTTTCAACAAGGATAATCTGACCGAAGTTACATAGCTAGTTGGTTGCAGAACAAGAACTTACACCAAAATCTTCTAATGCTAAGACAAGGGCTTCTATAACTTGAGCAAGTCACTTTCACTATATGAGTCTCAGTTTCCCCATAAGTGAAATGAAATAGATTAGACCAGGTGATGCAGGATCTCTTTTAGCTCTGAATAGGCTGTGATCAGAACCCAAGGCAAGGATTCTAGTATAAGTGAATGAGTTCTTATAAAGGCTGGGTGAGGTGTGTATCTGACATCCCTGGGATTTCAGAGCCCCATCAGCATGAGTGCTGATACTGGGGGAGGCTTTGTGATGTGCTCTTTGTAGGTGGTGGCCTTGGTGCCACACAGAGGCTGCCGATGCCACTGCCTGGGACAATGGAGTTCTCTCCTCTGCTGATGCTGCCTGCCCCCACACAAGCCCCTGCAATAGCATCCTATCGTTTGTCACTTCAAACCACATACACCCTGGATTTGTGCTCCTGCCAGAGGAATTAATAATGAATTCAGTTCCCATTCATGCAGGAAAGAAAGTAAGGCTTGGGGTAAAAAAAATCTCCTGGAAACATTGCCTTTGAGTTTCTGTAGAAGCTGACAAGGATTACATCTTGAATAGAGCTGACAAAGTCATAATTCAAGTTAAAGTGTTAGTTTGAAATTGTACGAGCCTTATCACAGACAGCATCATTACCTAGTATTTGTATATAAGTCTACAGATTACAAGAGACACTTAAAAATGTCTTCTCATTTAAAGCTAATTGTGTTCATTTTCAGCTGAGAAACTAAACCTCAGGGAAGTCAGGTCATTAGTGGCAGAACCACCTCTTGAACTCTGGTTACCATTTGCAAAAGCCTTTTCTTGTTCCACCAGATGATGTGGGCTCTTGTTGTACCAGGATTTCCTGTTTCCAAGAGTAGTGATTTTTCTATTGATGCTGGTCTTGTCCTCCAAGAGTATGGGACTCATCAAAAAGAAACAAAAAAGAAAAATGTGATTGTGGTCACATGTCATAAGGGAGAAGATTGATAATCAGAGCTGATTGGACAAGTGAATGTTTGCAGAGTGTTTGTGGCAGACAGATTTGAGTCCTGTCTATGTACCACTAAACATCTCCATGAATGTGGAAACTTGGTGCTTGGTTCTGCAAATACGTGACTTTGTGGTTGGAGGATAAAGAGGCTTTTTGTAGAAGGTAGAAAGGCTTGTTTTGTTTTTTTCTGATTTGGGGCCATGTTAGTCTCTGGCCTTGGGTGGGGTCAGTGTGGAACAGGTTGAGGAAGGAGTCACTCAACGATGGGTCAGAAAACTCAGGGATCTGGGAATAGATTCTGACACAAGGGAGTTGGACCAGGACTGGGATCACTGACTGGGGAGGAAGCTGGCCACAACCACATTGTTTGGGATTTGGAGTTAGCCAGATCTGATCCCAATTCCAGCCCTTCCTTATACTGGCTGTGCGACCTTGGACAAGTCATTTAACTTTCTTTGTCCCTTGTTTTCTCTACTAAAAATCAGGGACGGTACTATTGCCTGTCCTGAGTATTGATTTGTTTTGACTATCCCATGAGATCTTAAGCTGGTTAGGGCTTTAGAGAAGCAGCTGGCTGAGCTAGAGTCCATGGGTCAAATCCAGCCTGCTCCCTGTTTTTGTACAGCCCATGAGCAAAAAATGGTTTTTGCAATTTTAAATGGTCAGAAAAAAATCAAAAGAACAGTATTTTGTGACACATTGTATATAATGGAAATTATACAAAATTAAAAATATATATAATTATATGTAATTATATAATTTACATATAAGTATAAAATATACCACATATAATTATATATATATCCTTGTTATATAATTTGCAATGTTATATATTATATTTTAAAAAATCAATATAAAGTATAAATTATGTATTTACAGGTAAATTAATTTTGGTATCTATAAAGAAAAATTTATTGAACAATAGCCATGGTAATTTATTTTTACTATTGTCTACACTACTTTCATGTTTCAGTGGCAGAGTTTAGTAGTGTGTCAGGGACCAGATGACCTGCTAACCTAAAATATTTCCTATCTGCCCTTTACAGAAAAATTTAGCTGACACTTCTTTTATAAAGCTCAAAGTGCTCAGACAACACTGTAGGGTAAGTGGGTAAGTGGTATTACTCTTTTCTGCAGGTGAGAAAAGAGACACCCCAGAGAGAAAAAGTGAAGTTAATGTCGCCCAGTTTAAAAAATGAACAAACAAGAAAATACCAGAGTTTGCCCTGAAACCTAAACTTTTAACTGCATCTGACATTCTCTTAATCCATGATTATAAATCCCTACCCAAGTTTTTAGACTTTGGTAAAATGGTTGACAAACGTGAGATCAAGTTGTATCAGAGAGATTAGCAACTAGGGGAAAAAGCCAGAGTGAGGGAGCACAGGTTACAAATGCAAGAACTAAAACACTGGGTATCTTCACCACCAGAGCAGAAATTCTAGCACTGTCAAGATCTCCAAGAGGAGATATGAGCATAAGAGAAACATAAGAGAAATCTGCCAACTTCACCAGTGATTAAAGAAGGGCAAATTTTTTTCAAAATGAGGTATCACTTATACATTCTAAATTAGCAAAAATGTTAAATAATCATGACACCCAATATAGGTGATGTTGTGATGAAACTGAAGTACTTACACATTGCTCATGGCAACATAAATTAGTTAAAAATACCCCACTAACTTTAATTTGGCACTATATATTAAGAGTTTCAAAAACACTCATACTCTTTAATTCATTGATTCCTTTTCTGAAAATCTATCCTTAGAAAATAATTCTAAATTCAGAAAAATAATATCCACCAAGATTGTCATTGCAATGTAATTTTAGCACCAATTTGGAAGTCACCAAAAACTAGTGAGCTGGTTAAGTAAATTGTGCTACATTGACCCAATGCAAATATTATGCAACTATGAAGGACCAGACAACAGCATAGGGAAAAAATGATTATATTATGAAGCAAAAAAAAAAAATCAGAATGAAGAATTATAATTCTAAGGTTCTGTGCTATACAAAAGTTATGTCTATACTGGAACAAGCAGAAATAAAAACAGGTGATTTATTAAGGTGATTGTCCTCTAAATCCATTATTTATTTATTTATTTATTTATTTATTTGAGATGGAGTCTCACTCTGTTGCCCAGGCTGGAGTGCAATAGGGTGATCTCGGCTTACTGCAACCTCTGCCTTCCGGGTTCAAGTGATTCTCCTTCCTCAGCCTCCTGAGTAGCTGGGATTACAGGCATGTGCCACCATGCCCGGCTAATTTTTGTATTTTTAGTAGAGACAGGGTTTCACCATGTTGACCAGGCTAGTCTCGAACTCCTGATCTCGTGATTTACCTACCTCAGCTTCCCAAAGTGCTGGGATTACAGGCATGAGCCACCTCACCCATCCTTAAATCCATTTTTATAACATAGACTAGATAGTGAAAAGTCTTCTTCTGGATATGAAGTCAGAATTGAGTGAGTTGCTATGTTGGCTGATACCTACACCAAGACCTTGTTCTTCCCTCTACTTTGGGCCAGGATAGGATTCAGAGCTGGAGGACAGGTGGGGTTGAGAAGGCATTGCTGCCAGAGTTTGACAGGTAAGTAAAGAGGAGACCAGAAGTGTGCGAGATCTCTGTCAATAGATATTTACTGAGACCTCTCAGCCAGCATGATGATTGAGCTGCCATGAAAAGAGACTGGCTTCAGAGTCAAAGCCTAGAGATGCAGACTTGGCCTTCAACGCAGGAAGGCTCACTCAGGTGTGAGGAAACATGAGCAGGAGGCATGGTCTAGCACCCAGTTATGGAGATGGGCTCTGTGGCTGGCCCTGTGTTGGACATCAAGAAGACAAGCAGGAAACAGACTCAGCTCTGTCCCCAATGAACCTGTAAGAGTACAGTCATGATACACAGGATACTGCAGGAATAAAGAAACGTTAAACACACAGGAATCACCTGGAGGAGGAGAGGCCTCCAGCACAGTGTGAATGTCTCTGCTGTTCTCTGAACCTCTCCTGTTGGCCTTATTGATGATTGTTCCTGCACTGATTGAACACTAATGTTATTCTGGGTTCTCATCTAGCTTCTCACCATTTATGGATTTTAATAATGGCCTTGTAGAACATTGCACATGGGAAGCCCTGTGAAGATATTTTGCATCTTTTCTGGGTAAAGACTCCCCATAGCGCTTCTCTTGTTTGATTTCTTACACTAAACTGAATTTTTCCCTTCATGAAAATCCTGTCCTATCACAGAGTGACCCTCTGATGCAAATTTTCCCTGGCTTCAGTAATTTATCTTTCTGATTCCTGGTTCTTTCTTCTTCCTGTGTCAGTTTTTGGTACCACCTCCCACAGCCCCTCCTCCCCTTAAGCCCCACTCTGTTTTCTCCCTGGGAGATGGTAGCAGGGCCTCTGCCCTCCTAGAGGCATCAGGGCAGAGAGAGAGAAGACATGTTTGCCAAGAACTCTGAGTACCAGGGGAGGCTGAGCTGATGAGACTGGAAAGATGGCTATGAAAGATTGGCATATGCCTATTGGCACTGCAAGGGGGACAGGCTGTCCTGGTGGAGGGGATTGTGTGAACATGCACCCAGAGGCAAGACTATGAGGGGCTTACTTGGGGAACAGTGAGTGGCTCAGTTTGGAATTATTCCAAGAGTTTTATTTGTATTAATCCAATTTTCTGGAGATATGGAGCATGGTATGAGAAATGGGATTTATCTTGGATGAGACCCTAGGAAAAAAGCGGGTCGTCTAGGGGGACTACGCAGGGCTTCTCTCCCCAGACCTTCAAATGGTACACTGGCCCCAGGAAATCTTGAACTTGCCTAACAAGTTATTAGGAAATATTAACAGTCCCAGTAAAAGCAGCAGTAAACTAAACGCTGTCTAAACAAGCTCCCCGCATTTCTGTCATATTATCATCATCATAATGATCATCATCTACCAAGTGCCCCTGTGAGGTATTATTGTTTCCATTTTATAGATGAGAAAATTGAGGCTCACAGAAGTTAAGAGACTTGCCCAAGATCACACTGCTGGTAATGGTTGAGGGCAGGATTCAAATCCAGGCCCATCACGCCTCAAAGCTTATGCCCTGTTAGCATCGTTTTGTTGTCCCCAGATATGTGTGATGGTGCGGTGGTGAGGGTGGCTTGGGTTAACCACTTGCCAGCTGCTTGTGTTTTGCTTCAGGAACTGAGAGGAAGTTTGGCATGCTTTAACGGCATTTTAAGAAGTTATCTGAGGGGCAGGCTTCTGGCAAACTGAGTGCTTCAGCTGCAGAGAAAAAGGACCCAGCTGCACCTTCTGTGAAACTGAAACTGGGGTCACTGGGATGGGCCCTCCTGGAGTAGGATGACAGGAGAGATGGGAATGCTGGGACCTGTGGGGGGAAGAATAATGCAGCTGCTAACAGCTGCCCAGATGAAAGCAGTGATGTTGCTAGGAGAATAAATAACATCTGTTGACCTCTGGACAGCTCTTTGTGGTTTACAGAGCTCCTTTGCTTTCGTCATTTCATGACCATCTTGCTCCAAATGAGGGGAGTTGGGGTGAGAATCTCCCCTTTACAAATCACCAAAATAAAGATTCAGAGATGCTGTGTGATTTTCCTCGGGTCACACAGCTTGTTAGCAGTATCATTTGCATATGATTTGCATTCAAGTTTCCTAAAACCATCCTTCCCACCCAATTCCGCTTTCATATCTCCGGAAGCAGCCGGACCCAAGGAGGTCTTTCTGAGGATAGGCTGCCAGAACAGCCTCAAAGGTGTCATCTTAATGCGAAGTCCACAGAGGAAATGAGGAAGCAGATGAGAGGTACATGCAGAACTCACCAAAAGAACAGGGCAGCAAATCCACCTCAGGTGAGACCCAGTTTCAAAGGACTAAGGAAGGGAATGGCGGGGTTGAGCCTAGCTAGGAGGTAAAAGGAGAGGCTGCCTGGAGAACAGGGACTCTTTTCTTTATTTGTGAGAAAAGCAAATTTTGAAAGACAGACATCATTACCAGAATGTGGGCAAAGCCCAACTATGTAATGGAGATTATATGAAAACAGAAGGTTGGTATGTAATATTTTTAAGTACGCAGGAGAGCATCAAAACTGGATACACTCTTGATACTTATTAAAGCTGACTTTTTTTAAGGGCATTATTGGGAATGAAGAAATTGAATTTCCAGATTTCTTGAGCCAGATGACGGTCTTTGGCATGTTTTGGGAAGCGTAATCCCAGGCCCCTTTGAGTCCCATTCCAGTCTCCAGTTGGAGCGTTGAGGCTGCTGACCAAACAGCCTGGTCTGGCTATTTCCTGCATATCAACCATGCCTTGGGCTCTTGGCTGTGCTTTTGTTTGGATTCCATAAGCTGCAGTGAGTAATATTCATGAATCCTATTCTGAAGATGTTAATTACTCTTTAAGAGTACTATTATTGGATATCACAAACTTTTAAAAAAACTAGCCACATAAGAGTTGCAATCAGTCCCCTAAGCTACATAACCTGGAAGAGTATGTTTTAAAAGTAATTTGCTTTTTATATTCCATGAGAAGTTTAGCAATTTCAGTATTAAGGAGCATTGCTTTATTCATCTTCAAGTTTGTTTTCTAAGACATCCCAAAATAAATTTATTACAATTAGTGAATGTAATCATTTAAGGACCAGTAATTCCTAACAGTATTTAGAAAGAGGATGATAATGATACAGATATTTTTTAAAATTCAGCTTAATTGATGACTTCTACTGAAGGGCCATTTGTACTGAATGGGGGCTTGATGTATTGTGGATTTCACTAGATAAATGGATGACATTATTCTTTTTTTTGAGACGGAGTCTCGCTCTGACATTATTCTTTATTTTTAAAGTGTTTATTATTCTCTATTTTTAAAGTGTTTATTTGGGGTTGAGGTATTACAAACTGTGGCCATCAGGAAAGTTGGGAAATGTCAGGGTCAGATTATAGGGAGCATGTGGTACGGGGCCCTGTCCTGGTTGGAGAGGCCAAAGAGGAACCACAGTGGACCCCAGCCCAAGAGATAACAGATCTGAGAACTTAGGGCTCAATGTGGGAGTTGTAGTCACTGCACAAATCCACCCTTAAGCTGGCAGGTACTGGCGAGCGGGGAGCAGGAGACGGGGCAGGAGAATACTTTGTTTGGACAGTGAGCTGGGCAGGGCTCTGTGGCCCCTTGGGCTTCTTTGAAGACTCGGGGCCTGGATGGTGATGGTCTGGACCCAAAGCTGTAGTTACATGTAGCCACGAGCTGATATCTATCTGCATGGAGGAAGCCATGGAGTACAATTACATTACGTTTAGGAGCCCCTGGGAAGTGTCCTTAAAAATAGATTTAATTACAGGCAAGAATTCAAAATCTGCTCTGTGTTAATCTCATGTGTTAAACTTTTTGGTTGTATTTAATGGAAGTCATAATTATCTTGAGACTTTTTTAATCCAAAGAAAACAATTTTAGGACAAAATATTTAGCAGGTGTAAGTTAATGTGCTGAGGCACAGAAAACATGGAACAGAGTTTGTGTTCCAACCCCAGACCCACTGATGGCCAGCTGTGGACAAGGGGCAGGTCACTCAACCACTGTGAGGATCATATTCCTCGCCTGTATCCTGAGGATTAGGCAAAGCACAAAATCAATGAAAGTAATCGTAATGAGTTGCAAAAGGCCCTGCATGGGTGAGGTAGTGGTTTTGATAACAAATGACAGACCTGAGTTCAAAATCCTGGCTGTATAACTTACCACACCTGCAACCTCTCTGAGCCTCAGTTTTCTCATCTGTTAAGTGGGAATGATAATCTAACATCTAACTCCTGGAGTTCCTATGATGGTTAAATGAAATAAAGCACATGACATGTTTGGCACATAATATGTGATCTGTAAACATAAGCTGACATAAGCTATGATTATATTTTAAAGAAAATAAAAATAAGAGAAACCACCCATGGCCTGGCTGAGTTCCAGAAGCTTCTGGAAGGCTCTTGACCAAAGTGAATCACAGTGAACTTGATAGGAAGGGCAAAAAGCCTGGAGCCACTCAGAGAAGAGAGGGGAAGATGTTTGATGGGGTAAGCAGGCCAGCTGCCAAGCAGACTCACAGCCTCATCTGTAGATGCCTTCAAGCCACAGAAGGCTTGTTCTGGGCAGGGGGAGGGAAAGTGAGCTCTGCCACTCAAGAGACACAATAAGGACCAGCCACAGGAGCTTCAGAGGACACAGTCCAGTGCAGTATGAGGAGACACTTTCCAGTAGGACTTTGCAAAGACAGGAGCCTCCTCAGGGAAGCCAGGAGGTGCCACAGGGGAGAGGTTGTGTGGACACAGCACCAGGCCTCTGTCTGAGGGATGCTTCAGGGCACAAAGGCAGCCACAGGCCTGATCCCCTGAAATGGCCTCAGCGATTTCAATCAGCTAATCCCCTCTTGCAAACTTGCAGTTCTTTTTTCTTTTCCAGGTAGCTTCATAAATTCATAAACTTGTATCCCTTCTGTGGCAGCAAATGATATTAGAAAGCTAATTAGCTACAGAGCTAATTTTCATGTCAGAGGGAAATTATAGGTTTCATGGTATAGAACAAAATTATCTTTCTGTCCCTCCTCATCCTCCACCCCCCAATCCATCCCATTTCCTTCTCCCAGAACATGTATACACTCCCCTTTTCTGTCTGGTCACAAATGTCAGCAGAGAGGGGTGGCCGCTCTGGAGTCCCTTTCTCTCTGGTGTCAGGCATATTTGCATTTGCAAACAGCTTTAATTGAGTAGAGTTTTTATCGTTCTTTTTCCTTCTCTTGTTTTTAAATGCAAATGTTAATGTTTGGTTAGCACTGGTTCAGAATTAAGCTCCTGCTACCTGTGGCTGCCTCCTTCCCTGGGTTCTAAATAAGCACTAGTGGAGTAGCACGACCTGCTGAGAGCTTGTAAGTCCTGGAAGGCTGGAGTCCAGCTAATTGCCAAGCATGCTGAGAGGGCTGGGCAGAGCCTTGTCTCACTTACCAGCGCTCATGGAGTCCTGCTTCCCACCGGCACCAAAGGAGGGAAAATTAGTGTGCTGGGGATGGAAAGGGAGGCGGGGGAGAGGATGCTCTTTGGAATTAGGTTCTGGACTCTCTTTTGGCATCAAAATTCAGAAATTGAGAAGGCCTTCAGAAGTCATCAGGTTTGGGCCCTGGAAGTTGGAATCTCTTAGGCCAACCTCTTAATGGTTTGACATCGGACCTCTGTTTGAATGCTCCTACCTGGTGTGTGTGTGTAGGGGGGTCTTTTCTTCATGGGGCAGCCCCATCCACTGAGAGCCAGTTCTATTTTTTAGAGAAGGTGCACTTAATTTTGAGCCAAAATTAATTTCCTATTATCTCTAGCCATTGGTTTTAGTTTTCACATAGAATGTAGTTGATCTCATTTCCAAATGACCACCTTTCAGATAAATGGAGGCAGCTGTTATGGAACCTCAAATGGCTTTTCTCCTACAAGCCACAAGTTCCCAGTTTCTTCACATTGGTTACATGTCTGACCCTTCATCTGCCCTGTTTCTCTTCCCATTGTGGACTCAGGCTATCTGTCTTCCATAAAGCAGAGACTTGTAATTGTGGGTGTGATGATCCAACTGATGGGCTGACCGGCACAGGGTGGAAGGGGGTCCCAGGCCCTCCCACACATTAGAGCTCTTCCCTTTTACCAAGACCAACCAGATGCTGCAGACTTACTAAGCAGCCACATCACACTGTCCTTCCTTGCTGAGCCTACAGCCAATTTCCAGTCCCAACCTCTGTCTCATGCAGGTGAATTCATGTGGAACTCAACATAGATAGGGACCACTGAGCTCCTCATTTAGTGACAAAGAAAGTATATTCTTCTAAAGTATCAGATTGAGCTCTAATCCAATGAGAGAATTTTACAGAAGAGGATATTTTTATAAGGTGTCCAGCTTTCTCTTTTGGAAATTAGAGACCTGAGTGCTCAGAAGTCGTAGCAGGGTTAGTATCCCAGAAGCCTGGGTGCCTCCTTTGCCTTAGGCCTGCAGTACATGATTTTCACAGGGAGAGAAGTTAAATCGGAAATCTGGAGGTGATCCTAAGAAGCTCTCACCCTGAAAGGGACCAATCAAAAAAGGAGCAACTGGAAGTGACTACTAGGTAGAAATGTGCGGAGAAGAGATTGCAGTGGCTTTAAGGTAGAAAGCTTGGTAGGCTGTGTGGCTGAGAAGGGAAGAGGTAAAGGAGGCATGGCAGGAAAGTAGAGAAGCTATAGCCTACAGTAACATTTCCTATTACCCTCTAGGTTCAGTGATCACCCTACCTCCATCACCATAGCAACACATATCCCATGAGAAGTGGTATTTATAGGAAAGATAGGAGGAGCAATCTGTCACTGTAATATTTGCCTCTAATTCACATGTGTTTTTGTCTTCTGAGTCCTCACCTAATAACCTTGTCTTCTGGACTGTGGGCATTTTGCATTATATAAGAGCTCCAGAAAAGCCTCACATGGGTTTGACCCTCCCAACATTCTGGTACTAAGGATATTTTTCTTTGACTCATTTATGAGCTCCCCTATGTCTAGAATCAAGAGTTAATATGAACATCCACATTACATAAATTCTGCATATCAAATAGTGGAAAGATGAAGAATCCATGCTGTATTTATGTGACATGTGCGCGCACACATACACACACACACACACACACACACACATGCTGTAGAAGTACTCTGAATTCCCCCAAGTGACCTTAGCCATAGAGAAGAGATATAGAATGCTGGTGTGTTACAAGCATTGTCAACAAAGATAGACAAACACTGGATCTTTACAGAGTAAATCCAGTACAATTTGCACCAATTCCATCTGTATGCACCTTTTTGTTGTTACCATCTAGATGTTCCTACTGCTAACATGGATGTCTCCAGGAATATTGACTCTCTTCAGTAATAGAGGGGGTGTTTGGCTTTTATCACTATTTCTGAACCCTCACTGTAGATGCCAGACTTAGACCTGACCCTGTTATTCTTGAATGACTCCATTTACAGCTATAAAATTTACACTTCTGGAGGCTGCTGTTTGGTATAGGCAAGAACATCATGTGCTGAGGTGAGTTTTGTGAGCAGTAATGTGAACGGGTCAGATATGGATGGAAAGAAACAAAAAAATTGTGGTTCCTACAAGTGGAGAAGAAAAAAGGTAATATTCACAGGAGTATAAAGTTGCCTTTTTGGGTTTTACCTGTCTCCAAGATTTTGGGAGTACACTACTTCACCGAATCCTTACAACAACTTGTGTAGTGCAACAACAACCATTGTGCAGTTGAAAAAACTATTTTTGGGAGACATACAATGACTCATTCAATTAGTAATAGACAGATATTAGATTGAACCCAGGACTCTTACCTATTAGTCCTGTACTTTTTCTGCTTTCCCTTGAGCTGAAGGCCTAGAAGAGAGACTTGATCCAAAAGATCTATGGGTGAGAGGTGGGAGCTCTGGGTTAACTGGGAAAGGAATGTTGGCTCAAATTCTAAAGTAAAGCTGCCCTAAATGGTTGGATGATCTTACAGATTCAACAAGAATTTGCAGAGTGCTTATTGAGAGCAAGTCTCTGAGGACATATAGATGAGTCAGACACAGCCCGTGACTTCGGAAAGCCCACAGATTGGGGAAATGTAGTAGGCTTACATGAAAAAATAAATCAACACCTAAGGTTAGATATGGGACATACAAAAAAAGTGGCATATGTACACAGGCCATGAACTAGCAGTTCTGAGGCATATGAGACCAGAGAAAGCCAGGACAATCAGGAAGACTTCCTGGAGGAGGTAGAACCACTGGGTATGGAGGTTGGAAGAGAGAATCCAAAGGTCAAAAGATGTCTCTAAAGATGCTGAGCTCTGCTTGCTCGTGTTCTATTCAGACTATGCTGAGGAGTCTAATACCCAGAGCAGTGGGGACAAGGGAGAGGTGTGCATAATCAAGATGGAACAATTCTCCTTGAATTTGTTTGATCTCAAAGTCTTTTACAACATGACTTGCTCCTCTGTGCCCACTTCATGACTGTGTAACCAAGGGGTTAAGAGCTAAGTGAAAAAAGGAATAAACTCAGATTTCTTTAAAAAATCATCACAAAATGGCCCCCATAATCATGTCAAGAAAGAGCAAAATATTTGGCAGCCTCGCCTTTTTTTGATAAGTTTTGCCAGGGGACTCTTCCTGGAAAAGCTGCAGACAAATGCCCTTGTCTTAGGATGCTGCAGTGTGGCGGCATCTGCAATGGGCTACTAGGACTGATTTCATCATTTATTTCCAGTACGCTGGCCAAGGCACCAAAATGAGCCGTGCACACAGCGGGATGTGTTGTTTCTGGACTGGCGGTTCATCGTGACTGGAAATGAGAACAATTGAAATTAAAAAGTATCAATCAAAGGCATTCTCTAAAGAATAAAACCAAGCCTGATACATCCAGAGGCACAGCCAATCAGTTTAAACTAGTAAACAAACCTAGCAAAGTCGTAGAACACAACGGTGACATACAAAAATCAGTTATATTTCTACACACAAACAGCAAACTATCCAAAAAGGAAATTAAGAAAACAATTTTATTTACAATAGCATCAGAAGAAAAAAAAATTGGGGAATAAACTCAACCAAGGAGGTCAAAGATTTGTACACTGAAAACTATAAAACATTGATGAAAGAAATTAAAGACACAAATAAATGGGAAATCATCCTGTCCCCATGGTTTAGAAGACTTAATATTTTTTAAATGTCCACATTATTCAAAGTGATCTACAGATTCAATGCAACCCTTATTAATATCCCGTTTTTTAAACAAAAATAGAAAAAGTAATCCTAACGTGCATATTGAACTACAAAATATTCTGAATAGCCAAAGCTATCTTGAGAGAGATAAAGAAAGTTGAAGGCATCACACTTCTTGATTTCAAAATATATTACAAAGCTACACTAATTAAAACAGTATAATATTGGTATAAAAACAGACATGTAGAACAATGAGCAGAATAGAGAGCCCAGAAATAAACCCACAGCATACACGGTCAACTGATCTTTGGGTGCCAATAATACATAATGGAGAAAGGATAGTCTCTTTAACTAATGGTATTGGGAAAATTGGATCTTCACATACATACAAAAGAATGAAATTGGACCCTTATCTTACACTGTACACAAAAATTAACCTAAAGTAGTTAATTAACAAAAATGTAAACATGAGACCTGAATCTCTAAAACTCCTAGAAGAAAACATGGAGAAAAAACTTTATAACATTGGTCTAGGCAATGATTTCTTGGATATGACACCAAAAGCACAAACCACATAAGCAAAAATAAATGAGTGAGATTGCATCCAACTAAAAAACTTTTGCACAGCAAAATAAACAACAGAGTGAAAAGGCAACCCACAGAATGGGAAAAAAATTTGTAAATTATGTAAGTGATAAAAGGTTAATATCCAAAATATATATAAAGCTCCTACAACTCAATAGCAAAACAGCCAATCAAAACCACATACACACACACACACCCACAAACCCCAAATGGCAAAAAGACTTAATAGACATTTCTTGAAAGAAGACATACAAGTGGTCAAGAAGTTTATGAAAAATGCTCAATATCACTATTCATCAGGGAAATGCAAATCAAAATCACAATGAGATACCATTTCACACCTATCAGGATGTCTATTGTCAAAAAAAAGGGATAACGAAGGACACAGAGCATTGGGAGCCCTTGTGCAGTGTTAGTGGGAATATAAAATGGTGCCTCTGCTATGGAAAACAGTATGAAGTTTCCTTAAATAATTAAAAATAGAACTACAATATGATCCAGCAATCCCACTTCTGAGTATATATCCAAAAGAACTGAAATCGGGATCTCAAATAAATGTTAATGCTGTCATGTTCATTGTAGTGTTATTGCCAATAGCAAAGATATGGAAACAAGTGTTCATTGACAGATGAATAAAGAAAATGTGATACCCACATGTGCATGCTGTGTGTATGTGATTTTATTGGTTGTTTTGCTATTGAGTTGTAGGAGCTTTTTATATATTTTGGATATTAACCTTTTATCATTTATATGAGAGAGAGAGAGAGAAGAGAAAGAGAGAGAGAGAGAGAGAGAGAGGAGTATTAGTCAGCCTTAAATAAGAAGAAAATCCTGCCATATACAACAGCGTGGATAAACCTGAAGGACATTATGCTAAGTGAAATTAGGTAGTCACAGAAAGACGAACACCATGTGATTCCACTTATATGAGGTTTCTAAAATAGTCAAACTCATAGAAACAGAATATAATGGTGGTTGCCAGGGACTGAGGGGAGAGAGAAAATGGGGAGTTGCTATTCAACAAATATAAAGTTTTACAAGACTGACAAGTTCTATAGATCTGCTGTACAACATTGTGCCTGTAATTAGCAATACTCTACCATGCACATACAATTTTGTTAAGAGTATAGATCTCATGTTAAGTGTTCTTATCACAATAAAAACGACCATATTTATGGAGGCCCCTTCTTCTCTCTGGACCTAGTTTTCTCACCTATGAAATGGCCAGTCTGGGGTTGGTGACCTCTTCCTCTAAATGTTAACTTTGAAATAAATCATTCCAAGTTGGCTCTGTGGTGTTTTGAAAGAGCAATGGCTCAAAGACGACATAATTGTGAATTCTTTAGTGAAACTTTTAAAGAGCTTAATATAAATTAAAGCCAACAAAATTTCCTTCCTCCTTTTTAATAATATTTCCCCCAAATTAAAATAATAGTGCTAGAATCAGAGAGAAACCACCCATAATCTCATGGCCTACAAGCAACCTATATTAACATTTTGATATTCTTCTACTTGGAACTCTTTTTATATTTGTTTATTTGCTTTTTGTGTTTTTTTTTATAGCTAAGTTCATACTGTGTGTACAATTTGAGGTCCTATTCTTACTAAACTTTAAAAAATTTATTCAACCCACAAACATGTATTGATAACCTATTATGCATCAGGCACTATGCTAGGCACTCAGGAAACAAAGATGAGCAAGATGCAGTTCCATTCTAAAGAATCTCATAGTCTGGATGAGAAAATAGATAAGTAATCAAGCAATTCAAATCTAGTGTAAGCATTTTGGGAGGGGAAGCACAAGGTCCTCTGGGAGCAGAAAGGGTTCTCAACAGTTACAAATTCCTAGGTTGAAACAAGCATGAGTTAGCACCCAGCCGCTCAGCAAAATGCTACATTTCATAGCCACCCTTGAAGCCAAGGTTGGACAAATAACTTAATTACCGTCAACAGGGTGTGGGTGGATGTAATATGTTTTTTTAATCTCATCTGGATCCTTTCATTGTCCCTTTGGCCCTTTACTGTTGACTGGAATGGAAAGTGATGGTAGGAACAGTAGCAATCACCTTAGACCACCTTAGATGGAAGCCACACATTGAGGATAATGGAGCAGCAGGATAGAAGGAACTGGGATTCCTACAGCAGACCTGACTGTTTACACTTGGTTTTCTATATAAGAGAGGAGAAGCCATCTACCTTGTTTAAAAGCCACTCTTATGTCTGTGTCTTTGTTATAGCAGCTGGAACCTCAATCCTAACTAATACAGACGGCAGGAAGATGCCTGGAGAAGTGGGCAAGGGTCAGAGACAGAGGAACTGATAAGACATCCCCAGGTGTTTGAACCTTATCCTGAAGGCCTTGGTAACCACTGAAGAGTTTTAGATATGAGAGTGACATAATCTAGTTTGCATCTTGGGAAAATCACTCTGACTGCTGCATAAAGAACAGATTGAAGCAGTCAAGAATAGAGCAAAGAGATCTGTTACAAGGCTGTTGCTATTGTCCAGTTAAGTGAAATTAGTAGAGTAACCAAGGTATTTGATGGTTATTGAAGGTACTGGAGAAGAAGCAAAGGCTTAGGATCACTGGACGTGGCAGTGGGAAATAAGTCAAACATCCATGGTTTTTGCTTGCAGTCACTAATAGGAAGCACAAGAGGAAGATTATAATTGACTCTGAGTCTTCCTAGTCAAAGTCAAGGGTTAACCCTGGGAATAATAAGTTCAGCTTCTGACGTGTTGAGTTTGAATACTGATGGGACATTCAAATGGAGGTGTCCTGTAAGAGGTTGGCTTTGTAAACCTGGAATTCTTTTAAGATGTCTGAGCTAAAGATGTAAATTTGGGAATCATCAGTGTAGATCATCAGGTAGATACTGAAGTCATGGAAGCAAATGAAGTCATCAGAGAGATAGCTTGAAAATGAGGCTATGGATGGAGCCAATATCTAGGTGGAGAAAAGAAGAGGGAACTTTATAAGAGGCAGAGAGCCAGGGAAGTGTGTGTCACCAAGACCAAGGGAAGATGGTGGTATAGCAGAAGACAGTGGCTAGCATGTTCAATGTTGCAGAGAGGCCAATTAAACTAGGAACACTATGCATGGTGTTCTGTGAGCTCAGCATTTATTCAATACATGTTGGAGTGAATTGCTAATTGGTAAATCACTAAATTGATGCTGTTGTTTTTAATTTAATTATTTGTTCTGTTTTTGCTTTCATTAGAAACAGCACATCTAAATTGCATTTGCTGAGACAGACAGAGTGGGAAACCCTGCTTATGTTACATAAACTCTTGTTTCTTGAGTTAAATAATGGACTTAAAGGTTTAAAAAAAACTTTGCTGTTTTGAGTGACTATGAAGATACTCTTTATTTATTAAAGAAAAGTTGACAAATAGAAGAAGAAAAGAAGGAAATAAAGGTGACACCAGGCAAGGCAGACAGAACATGGTGTCTATTTCCTTTGGTCACGGTCATCCTCCCTAAAAGCCACCTCTATAGAACAGGACTTGTAAGAGGGTGACTTCAAGTGCGGAAGTCAATGTGGCATTCTTACAGCAACTGCTCTTTCCCTTTTGTGGGTCAGAAATGCTTCAGATAATCAGGCAAAACCTATAGTCTTTCTACTCAGAAAACTACCAGAATATTTATCCATGCAATTTTACATTCCATTTCTGTGGGACACTGTGAAGTCTGAGGACTTGCAAACTCAGTGGGAACTGTTTCCATTCAGAGCCTCTCCCTACTTCTCCCTGACTCGTAAATGCCCCTAAATGCCATAAATTATCCTCAAGGACCTGTAGTTGCCTGAGCCTTTCCCTCTATTCACAGAATAGCTGCAGAGACTCTGGATTCACCCAGAGTCTCTGGCTTTCACCCACCGTTAACAAAACCAATGGACTCATCAATTTTGTTCTGGGCCGAAGGGGCAGCTTTGAGGAGTTGACTCTGGCCATTACCAGTGACTCTCTGCAGTTTCTTAGAAGAGAAAGAGCACTAGGCTTGAAGGAGGAAGAGCTGGGTTAGGTTTCATCTCCACTTCTTATTCATGACATGACCTTGAGTAAGCCACTCCACAATTCTGAGCCTCCACTTGTCAAAAAATTAATAATTCTTCCCATATCTTCCTTATAGAGTATAAATCTAATGAGTTAACAGCTGTGAAAGTGCTTCACAAAGTGAAAAAATGTGACACAAATAAGAGGGTTTATAAATAAAAAGTAAAGCAACTAATATGGAGAATTTACTACCTGGTAGCCATTGCACTAAGTGCTTTGTCTTTATCATTTTGTTCCCGCAACAACTCTAAGAGGTCATTATTCATTATTTTACCCAAGAAAAAAAGTGAGGCTCAGAGTGGTTAGGTGACTTGCCCAAGACTACAGAGCCAGTAAGTAGTGAAGCTGGGATTCACGAAGGATAAAATATCGGCTGCACTAGGGCAGCTGTGTTTGGGGGACATAAAGATAAAGGGTACAGGGAGGAAGCTCATTCTCAGAGTGCCTGTTAGCCTACCAGATACTTCACCAAGTAGCTTCAGAAGAATGCTGAGAAGTTGGTTACATGGGTTACACTGGCAGAGGACATGAAACAGTGACTGGTACATAATACGCCTCCAGTAGATGTTAGGTATTAGAATTACGTTACTGTTGCAATACTCATTGTACAATGAGAAAACCAAGGCTCAGAAAAGTTAAGTGACCTGCTAAAGAATACATAGACAGTAAATAGCAGAGCTGGGCTTGGTATTCAGGTGTCTGAGGCCCCTGAGTTCACATACTTTTCCCTGCCACACACTGCCTCCTGCACATAAAATGCTAGTGTGTTGTTTTTTCCAGATCCTCTACCCTTCCACAACATTCCATGGCCTTGAAGTGCCAAGGTTTGTGGCCTCCCAGACCTCTGGCTTTTAGTATTGCCTCCTACCCCTTTGGATTCACTATGCAGAACTGCCGTGTTTGAGAATTGGTACCATCCCAATTAGACATTTATTGGCCAGATTCTGTGTCTGTCAACATGCCAGCTGATAGGCTCACAGCCACAAGCCTCCAGCCCTGGGGACTGTCTGGTTCGAGCGGTGAGTCCTGTTAGTGGCTGGCTGGCCCCACCGCCAAGCCCGGAAGGCTGGAGGGGAGGGTTCGGGGGGATCGCCAGATGACGGAAAGGAGACAGTGAGTCTGCACAGGGCCAAGCGAGGCTTTCTCTCCAGCTCTGGTTTTGTTTATGCATCATTTAGACCCCAATGACTTCCCAAAATAATTTGACATGGCTAATGGCTTAGGTTTGTCTAGTGTTTCAGTTTACAGAGCACGGCAATTTAGTGATCTGATTTGAATCATGAAAACATCTCTAGAGATGGGTGGTATAGTTTCCATTTTACAGATGAAGAACACTGAGGTAGTGGTGGCAAAAATAATTTACTCAAGATTATGTGGTGCATAACAGTCGAGGCTGCTAAGACTCACATTCAGGGCTTCACTCTAAAGTTGCTGTATTTCTGCCATGCCATGTTGCTTTCTAATGAAATATACATTGGAGTTTAGAGCGAATAAAGAGAAGGTGTTTGAAAGAAGTCAGAAGGGCTATGCCAAGGCTGGGGCCAGTGTAGGGGCCAGCTGGACTGAGAAATGTGAGTCCTGCCCCTAGGACTCCTGCCTGGGATACTGGATCCTAGTAGATTGTCCATGCGCTACTCCATGGGCCTCTGAAGGCTACTGAGCAGGCCCTTCTTTGCAAATATTCTCTAAGCATATAGCTTGTTAAATGGTCTTGTGGACAGCTTCCCCAGTGTCTTATTGGTGTGGGAAACCTCAGGAGCCATCCAGGAATCCCCAAAGGTTGCTCTTACTTTTTGTTCTTCTCTAGCTCAGCATGAACTCTGAGCTGCCTTGCCCTCTGCTCCTGCCTGGCCTTGTTTCTGACCATTCTGTTTTACCCAAGTTGCAGCTGGGAAGGGAGCCTTAGAAATCATTAGTTTTAATCCTTTCTCTATGACAGATGGGGAAACTGAGGATTAGCGAGATGACAGCATGTTTCCTATGCCACTCTTCTAAGATGCTGTACTCGTGAATGTGGTTGCCAAGGCCTCAGAGCCATGTTCTGAAACCTTTGGTCCTGCCATTAATCACACCTTATCCAGACCTGTAATGGACTGGCCATATCCCCAGCTCCAGCCAGATCTACCTTGACTTGAGCAAGTGTGACAACAAAGCTGGCAGCTCTCCCTGAAGACTGAGCCTACTGCAGTCTCCTTGAAGGCAAGGATCCATCCTAGCCATTGTCAAAATACTAGCCTGAAACAGCCAGGTGTCTTCGACCTATCTTATCACTGAAGTCAGGGAATGAGATCAGCTTTGGTGAATAGAGAATTCAGGATGGGAAATCCCTTCCTCCAATCCTTTCAGATCCCTTAGTATTTGAGTGAGGCACAGGGGTTTTACCACAAGCAATATTCTGAGATTCTTACAGCAATGCATCACAGTCCTTTCCAAGGAGTCTGTGTGGTCTGCTGATATTTCTCCATTTGCTTTTGGATGCATCACAATAAGCCCCAGCTGAAGTCAAATGCACTTTAGTCCTCTTATCTTAAGTATAAGGGACTGCAGGGAAGAATTAGGAATCACACAAAGGCATTGCAAGCTTATTTACACCAGTGCCTGAAAACCAGAAGAAAATTGACTGAAGTAAGATATGAGACTACATCTTGCAAAACATGCTATAAAATGGATTAATGGTGACTACACCCTCTTAATATGTGAAATTGTCCCCAAATACTAACAAAATGCTAGAAAAGGAAAAACCGATTATAGTGTTAGGAATTTTTTTTTTTTTGAGAAATGCCCCTTGTTCAAACACAACTAGTGATTTAGCTTGCCTAATCAGAAAAAAAAAATTAATGATCTAAAATTGTTTAAAGTCTACAAATACTTATTTGAGTGTGGCATTTTGTATCCAACCGTGTGCTGGGTTCTGAGGACCCAGAAGTGAAGAAGAAGACCTAGCATCTATCCTCCAGGAGCTCAATTTAACTCCAGGAGCCAAGTGAACAATGCATCTTTCACTCGGGGTGGCAATAGAAATAAACAATGTAGAGAGATGGCTCAACGAGGAGTCAGGGAAGATTTTCTAAGAAGCTGTTGGCTGAGCTGGGTTTTGAAGGTTGAAGGGTTTTCATGGTTAGTGCAGGGAGATGGTGAGGCAAAGGTGTTACTAGTTAAGAGACCTGTGTGCAAAGGCACAGGGGCAGGAAGCAACTTGGTATATTTAGGACTGAGAATGTGGAGTGGGAAGAAAAAGTAATGAGTGGAGACAAAACTGGGGAGGCAGACAGGGGCCACCTGAGGATATGATGGGTATGTGCAGCCAGATAGCTTAACTCCAACTCAGAAGAAACTAGGGGAATTTTGCCTTTGCAGTTGTAAGCTGTTGAAGTGAGGACCTAGCATTCATTTTTATATCCATTTATTATTATTATAATAAATAATAGGATCTCAACATGACAAAGCACTTTTTTCTATTTAGTTTTAAATTTACATACAGAAAAATTCACATTTTTATGGCATATAGTTCTAAGGGTTTTGACAAATGCATACAGTCAGGTATTCATCTCTGGAATCATGACACAGGATAGTTTCATCTTCCAAAAAATTGACTCATGCTGCCCCATTGTAGCCAATCCCCACTCCAGCTCTAACACCTACTTTCTATCTCTCTAGTTTGCTTTTTCTGGAATGTCATATAAATGGAGCCATACAGTATGTAGACAGGGCAAGTTTTTATCATAGAAAAAAAATGGTCCAATTTGTATCTTTTCATGTTCAGAGGTCAGAATGTTTTAATAAATTGGGAGGGAAAAGAAAATCAGTGTGATAAGGCCCAACACTGGACTCTTTTGCAGACCTTTAGATCCTCTCTCCAATTGCCTTCATTAGTACCTTATGCTTTATGGACATGTTTGTTAAGTCTGTGGCTATGCTCCACGAAGTCATCCAGCCCACTCTTCTCTAAGTGGTTCTACAGATATGTTGCAGAGACTTGGACAAACTTCTTACTGCATTTCACCAGCACTGGCTGAGGGAATTCCCTGATCTGTCTTTAGCCAAAAAGGGGGATAAAGATGATTTGGTTGAACTTGCTGGGACATTTGGGCCAATTCTTTGTGCTCCTAGCTTTCTGAGCTATGACCAGAGAAAGGAAGCTCCAAGTTTGAACTCTAGGCATCATAATGAGGTCCTACTGTAGCCAAAAGGCTAGTAGCAGATGTAGAATAAGTCTGAGGTCTGTGAATCACGGGGCCAAGGAAGCATGTGATTGAGGAATTCTACATGGTGTCAGCCTTCATAGTTCCAAAGGGCGATGGCAAGGATGGGGAAGATAAGTTTTACCCAGCAACTGAAGTCTTCAGGGAGGAAGAAAGTGTGTTTGGTGAAAACCTCTTGGGTATTTTTTCTGCATTCATTATTACTTTTTAATGTTGTGTACCATTTATTAATACATTAAAATATATGGGAAAAATCAGTGCTGGATGATTTTTGTGTTTTGAAAATATTAGAAATAATATATCCCTCATGGTAAAACCTTCACATCTGAAGGATGAAAGACAACAGATCAAAGCATCTCATCCTCTTTCTCTCTTTTTATTAGCATTTCCCAGCAATTAATTTTCTTGCATGTTCTAGAAATTTTCTATGTATGTATAAATATATCCATTTTCTGTTATATATAACCAGATTATGTTACATCATATTGTGACTTCCTTTTTATCACTTTGTATCCTAATGTATGTTTAACATCATTCTGTATCAGAACATGCAGTTCAACTTTGTGTTTTTAAAGAGCTGCATGCTATTCCATAGTATAGATGCACCATAATTTATTCTAACCAGTCCCCTATGGAAGGAGATTAAGATTATTTCCATTTTTTTCTATTACAAATAATGCTGCAATGAGCATCCTTGTACATATGTCTCCATATACTCTTTTCAGTATTCTGCCAAGTATCAGCATGAAGAAAAACAGCTTCTTGAATTCATCTTCTAGCTATGTTCGAATATCCTTGTCTTTTATATTTCTACAATGCTTCTCTCACAGCGTCCAGCAACCATTTGAAATCAATCTTTTAATATGCTCAACCTTTCTTCTTTTGTTTCTCTCTTTATTAACGTCTCATCCCAGTAGGAAGACCCCATGCAGCTACATAGGTTTCTCTCGAAGCCTCCATGTTTTTCTTCTTAATTGGCATGGGTCTTTTATTTAAATATAAATATTCACAATTGTCTCATATATTTTTAAATGTATAGACGCTAAAATAGAAGATTCTGTTTATCTGATGACCAATCTGAATTTTCCTTTCTGGATAGAGGATCCTGAGTGGCTTTGAACTTGGTTGTGCAGTGGGATTTAGATATAAGGAAGAATAAAAGAGAAATAATTGTCACATTTCTAGCAAGAGTGTTATGGAGCTTCAACTTCCCATCAGCTGGGGGAGGAGGAGAGAGAGGCTGGGAAGTCTGCCACAATATTTGGCATGGCTGGGCTTCCAGATTGCATCTATTTTTGTAGCTGCACAAGTTGGGAGGAGATTAGAAGGATAGTCAAATTTCCTGCTCCAGGTTGTAAATTGATCAAGAGGTGGAAGGAGCACTAGAATGAGAGTCAGAAGGCCTGGTTCCTGGTCCCAGATTTCTCAGATATTAATAATGGAACTTGGGAAGAACTTTTTCCTTCTCCAAACTCACTTTCCCTCAGCTCCAAAAAAAAAAAAGGATGTTGAGTTAATTGGTGCTAATATCCCCCTCCATCTCCAATATTTTATTATTTTGAGGTTCTAGGAATGTTTGCCCAATTTTTAAAAACTTTCTGTACTATAAGAATGTTTACCCATGTATCAAAGTGATTAGGAGTATCTTTGTTAGTAAATACAGAGTTGAACTGGGAGTCCCATTTTTATCCATGTGTCCTCTGTTTCAAAGCTTTGCCTCCACCAATAAAGATAGGCCTGATGTGACATGCAAACTTACTGCAGAAGACCCTGGGACCACGTAGAAGCCTCCAAATGAAACTGTCCAGATGTCCCAGAAGCAGAGAAGCCTGGTTGGGCCCCAAAGAAGAGCTGGTGATATGGGAGGGACTCTGCAAGGCTGCGTATGAGAGTGTCTGATTCCACCCCTTTGAGAGTTCCCTCTCAGGACAGACATTCTGAAGATGGCCAACACAAGCTTATATGTACTCCATGCTACTGGGGGGCTTCTCAGCCACATGTGCCTAATGGCACTTCTGGCATTGTTCTCTCCTAAGCATGTCCATCCAACTCTCTCCGGAGGCCACAGCCGTGGTGCTCCTTCTCAGAGGGCCCCATATCCCTAGGCTGCTTTCCGGATCCTTTCTCACTCAAGACATTCCCTGTGTGCTCAATAATGAAGGTGTTTTCTTCAGGGATTGTTCTCAGAAGATTGTATATCTCTCTAGGATTCTTTGACCTCTTGGGAAATTGCCAGGCTTAGCCTGCATGGTAAAATATTTTTTAATCTATAAGGCAATTCATAAACTATGACTTTTAGCAACACTAAAACAATCATGAAAAAAAGCATGAAAAAGAAAATGATTTCTATTGAAATAATAGATTCTTTTCTAAGAACAAATTGGTATGGAAAAAGAAAGGGCCAAATTAACAAAAAATATCAATAACAGTAATTATATGTTATTATTATAAACAATGTATTGAGTACCTCTACGACATAAGCTTCATAAGATTAGGAGCCTTGTTTATATAGTTATCTGCTGTATCTCAGCTTTAGAACAGTCTCTGGGTATTAAATTGTCCAAATAATGCTCACTATGATCCTGTTTGTGTTACTGTGTTCCCATTTCACAGATAAAGTAACTGAGGCTTATGGTTTAAAGAGATTGTCTTGCCCAAAATCAGAGCTGAGAAGCATATTCCAAAATAGTCTCTATTATTATTACATGTCTTTTGGTGTCCCTAGGTCATCCCAAGCCATTCAAGGTAAAAGATCACATCTTGCTTCTTTAGATATCTATGGTGAATGATGTCATTGATTTGACTAAGCAGTTACCTTTAGTAAGTTTCCACCCTTGCAAAAATTCCACTGGTGAAACCTTTAGATTTTTCTTTAGAAATCAACAACATCCCACATATGACCACTGTGGGGTATGTGAAATTGAAAAAGAAGGAAGTAGAATTTACTATTTCTTCAGAATTATTATTGTTACAATTTCTAAACAGAGATGCTGACTACCTAGGAGAGTTTGAAGATTGCTAACTTCCTTGTGTGAAAATCCTATGAATGTTGAATGTTAGAAATATCTGAAATGAATCTCTGAAGGCTGGTGTATATTTTGGAGAGAGACTTATTAGAAATCTTATTCTCTGCCTTGCTTCTGAAATGCTAATTTGGTGCGTGCACTTACTCAGAAGATGACTGATGTGCTCGTCGGCTGATTGATATTTGCATCACCCCCTCACTGCTGCCGTTCGCTGAAAATGCAGGAACAATAATCAAATGTTAAGTTTCTTAAGAACTGTCTTCCAAAGAAAATCAAACCATTGGCCCTTTGTTATCTCAATCATCTCCAGAGCTTCTTGGGAAGAGCCTGTGTTTACCTTTCTTCTCAGAGAGGTGCGTGTGTCTGGAAGAGCACCAGACTTAAGAGTGAGAAGACCCGGGTATGAATCCTGCTCTGCTAGTGTGAGGATTCACAAAAAATCAGTTTACTGCTCCTTTGCAGTTTAATGGAACTTCCTGCCTCACAGGGCTGTTGGGATGGTTAAATGAGATAGCATGTGTAAAATAAAATGAAATTGATGCTATGAGGAAACTGCTGAGAACCGGATTACCTCAATAGAAAGAGATGGTTTCTGAAGCCAATCATCCTGGGAGTGTATCCCAACACTGACACTTACTGTGTGAACTTGAGGAAGTTCCCTGACCTCTCTGTGCTTCAGTAGCCCCATCTGGAATAAGGAGATAATTATAGTACACCTGCCTCATAGAATTGTTGTGATGATTAGGTGAGATGATGCACATAAAGGTGCTAACAGCAGCGCTTGGCCCGTAGAGCTCACTTGAAAGGGTTATTATAAACATTGGATTGTTATGAGGAATAAATGAAATGGTTTATAATGAAAACATGCATAGACAGTAAAATACCGTACAATCACTCGATTAAGATTCAATGAGCTGATGAGGACATAACAATGCTCCGACAAAGCTCCTACCTTCTGCTACTGCTGATGGTAGCTAGAATTGGAGGTGAGAGAGCAGGGAGTCACCTGGGACAGTGAGGGAGTGGATGCGAGAATTCAGCTTCCAGGAGATGGCCACATAGCCTTCCTTCTGCCTACAATAATCTTCAAAGAATGCTTTATTGTTTGCTAAGCACTTTCAAAAACAGTCTTTGTACTAATGCTTACCTTAGCTCTCTAAGATGGCAGGCAGATGAGGATGTTTTTGCAGTTAAGGGCTGGAGGGAGGTTAGAGGTAAAATGGCATTGATGAGGGCTCTCTGCTTGTAAGTAGTGAAACCTGGGCTCCCTCTTTCTCCTCCTCCCCAAGCTGTGCCTGGTGATCATATGTCCCAGGCCAGATTTTGTCAGTCTTCTGAGGGTACTGTTTTCTCTAATTCTTTGCAGTACAATAGTGGTTATCAGATCCAGAAGGTCTGCTCACAGAAAGCTGTGTGTATGATAGGAGAAGAAGGGAGCTGGCAGATGGGTGTGTGTGGCGGGGACTAGGGGGTTGGGATCAGTATCTCATTGCATTGTGAGTTGCCCAGGCGGAGGTGATGCTTTATAGAGAGGTCAGGGATCCCTGGACATCACTGGTACTTACCTCCATAACCCTCTATTTCCTCATCAGTGAAATGGGTTAATAAATATTTCCTTGCCACTCTGGTCTAGAGTAAGGATTCAAGGAGATAAACTATGAAAGGACCTTCATGGTTGAGGTCCCCAAAATGATGGAGTCCTTCTGCCATCTCATCCTTCATGGTGTTCAGGACCCCATAGAAACTTCACTGCTATCCCCACAGTCACAGCTTGGCTCTGTCTATGGGTTCTGCTGAAGGGAGAGGACAGAAGCACCTGTCTGCTTTCTCTCACCTCCACTAAACCCCCACCTAGGTTTATCTCTGGCCTTTGGTGAAGGAAGAGAAACTGGACTTTCTTGCTTTTTCTTGACCTCTGGTTCCTTGTGGCTCTCTATTCCTGCCCCAACCCATGGAAATCGGCCTGAACTGTCATAGAATCGTGCATTTTAGCAAGAAACACGTGTCGAAGTTCATCTGGACCAGCTGCCCTCACATCTACCTTCTACACATTCAGATTACCTTTCCACCTTTCCAAGAGCTCGGGATGCAAGTGGCTTCTAAAAAAACCTTTGGGGTCAGACACCAGGATGAATAAATCTTTTCTAAATCATCTTGGTTAAAGTTGATGCTTTAACAACTCAAAAGACAGGAAGGTATATGTAAGTTTTGGTACTGTTATTTTGGTACTGTTATTTTACTGTTAGTGTGTGTGTGTGTGTGTGTGTGTGTGTGTGAGCGCGCGTGTGTGTTTAACATTGTTTAGGTAAGATATAAGTGGTTTTCCTCTTTAGGAATTTGGACTTATTGAGATAAGTCCTTGTGCTGAGTTCCACTCACAGCCTTTTCAGGAAGAAACAGTCTGACCCCCACCTCCCTCTGCTGTGGTCCTAACCAGTTCCTTATGCATTGGTGACCTGGCTACTCTGGTCATAGCTGATTGAATCAGAGTGGGCATTTGACCCACAGGCAACCAGCCTGTAGGATGCTCAAAGACAAATGAGGTATGATGATGAAGATTTGGACCAATTGGATTTTTTTTCTTTTGGGGAGTTTAATGCAAAAGTTTAGGGTAGTGATCCCTTGGCATTTGGAGCAAAGAGAAAGACACATGAGGAGAAGCAGAGGCAGAGATAGGAGTTGGCTTAATGGGAAGGCTTAGGCTGAGGCACCCCATTTCCAGTATTGTTAATGTCAGGTCTGCTATGGATCCTGGGTAACTTTTCTATTTCTGAAAAACTCTGTGGCTACAAGGTAGTGCCTCATCTTTCTTGGAGTCTGGTTGGGCAGCTGCTTTCCTTCCATTTCCTTGGGACTTGGCCCTGGATGATAATCTTAGTTTCTTTATTTTCATGTGTATCATTTTAATAAACTGCTCATCCCTTGAAGGAAGCTGAGTCTCTGTTGTTTGTACCAACAGTAGCAAAGAATCAACTGCCAATGAGCCCTTTCCCTGCTGGAGGGAACAAGGTAACAGAGAAGCTGGGGAGTGCTGCCTTGAGTGTCACTGTCAACTAATGCTTCTTTAGAGTGACCTTCCCTGACCACCGGTTGAAAGCAGCAGCCTGTCCCTGCCCGATCAGTCACAATCACATCCCCTTTTATTTTCTTCAAAGGTCTTCTCATCAGCTAATATGGATCTTAGTATTAGTTTCCTGTTGCTACTGTAACAAATTGCCATGAATCTAGTGACTTTAAAAGCAACATAAATTTATCGTTTTACATTTCTGGAGGTCAGCAGTCTGAAAGGAATCTCATGGAGCTAAAATCAAGGTGTTAGGGGGGCTAGTTCCAACTGGGGCTCTGTGGGAGAATCCCATGGCTGCCTTTCCCACCTTCTAGGGGCTGCCCACATTCCTTGGTTTGTGGCCCCACATCAGATCACCTTTTCCCCCTCTGCTTCCATCATCACACCGCCTTCCCTGCCTGATCATCCTGTGTGTCCTTTTTTTTTAAACAGGGTCTCACTCTGTTGCCCAGGCTGGAGTGCAGTGGCCCAACTACTTTTTGTATTTTTTGTACAGACTGAGTTTCTCCATGTTGTCCAGGCTGGTCTTGAACTCCTGGGCTCAAGCGATCTGCTTGCCTCAGCCTCCCAAATTGCTGGGATTAACAGGCATGTCCTTCTTATAAGGGCCGTTGGTGATTTTATTTAGGGACCACCTGGATAACCTTGAATAATCTCCCCATCCTGATGCTTAATTCAATCACATCTGCAAAATCCCCTTTGCTGTATAAGGTAACATTCATATATTCTAGGAAGTAAAACATGGACATTTTTGGAGGGTTATTTTTCAGCCCACCATAATCTTCTTCATATATTTGTTTACATGTTCACATTTTTCCCCACAAAATAGAACTTCCGTGGGAGCAAAGGCCTCATCTGTTTTGTTCATTATTCCCAGAGCATGAGATAGGGCCTACTATATAGTAAATGCTGACAAATGTTTGTTGAATGAATAAATAAATGAATTAATGGAATGGCCAGAATTTCTAATGTTCCAGAGGCTCCTTTGGTCTAGAACCATATTATCTTTAAACCAGTGTCCTTTTTTTTTCTTTTCTATCTTTCTTTCTTTCTTTTTTTTTTTTTTGAGACAGAGTCTGACTCTGTTGCCCAGGCTGGAGTGCAGTGGCATGATCTTGGCTCACTGCAACTTCCGTCTCCCAGGTTCAAGCAATTCTCCTGCCTCAGCCTCCCCAGTAGCTGGGATTACAGGCACCTGCCACCACACCCAGCTCATTTTTGTATTTTCAGTAGAGATGGGGTTTTACCATGTTGGCCAGGCTGGTCTCAAACTCCTGATCTCAAGTGATCTGCCCACCTCGGCCTCCCAAAGTGCTGAGATTATAAGCATGAGCCGCTGCGCCCAGCCACCAGTGTTCTTTAAGCCCAATGGTTCTGTGAAGTACTGTTTCTGCAAGATGCCTTATAAAACAAAACAAAACAAAACAAAACAAAACAAACTCCTGTGGTCAAATAAATCTGGGAAATATACAAACTTATCTTCTTGTTCTTAAAGATATTCAGTATACATTAGCATATTAAAGTCTCTGAAACTTTATTGGTTGTATAATCCAACAATTCTGAAACTTACTTGACCAGAGTTGTTCTTTTCCTTGTTACAGCCCTTAATAAGATTCCACAAAATTCATGTTCAAGTATCTCATGTCAGGAATGCTGCTGTCCAGCTTGTTGGATTTTTTTTCCCCTCTTCTTTTTATTCTTCTTCTCCTTCCTGTCCTCTGCCCCATCTTCCTCCTCTTCTTTCTCTATTCTTTCCCCTCCTCTTCTTGTTTCTGTTTTTTATCTCTGAGCTTATTTTAGTCCTTAGCTTTCCTAACTCTGTTCTTGCAAGTTTCTACCCCCATCCACTTTCCTGTCCTTCCTTATGGGTCCTTACTGGAGAACTCGCTATACCCCTCTGCACTCTGGCCTATTTGTCAACACTGTTCTGAGTGCCCCCACCACATTTTTGTATTCATCTTTGGTTATGTGGTCCCCACACTTCTATCTTTTGGACTTTTTTTAAGTCCAAATTCTTCACATAGAAAAGGGAGGCTTATTCTATGACCTTCAATTATTTCACAGCTAAAGAGTAAAAACAAACAAACAAAAACAAAAACAAAAAAAAGTCAATCCCTTTTAGTTTACTTACAAAATGCCTTTGTTACCTAAGCCCTGGAGGAATTATATTCTATGGTTTTAAATATGCTTTTATCTTCCAGAAGGGATGATCTGGAGGCCTGGACACCCAACCTGGTCTTCTAGCGATGTGGTAGCCTGAGCTGTACTCCATCACCTGAATGGAGTCAGAGAAACTATTGCTTATATGCGAATTCATTCTGTTGAACCTCACGTCCATTGAGATGTTCATTCCCCTTAAATTAAGCTGCAGGCTTTGAATAAATTTTTAATTCCTGGCATATCTCCAGGATCCAACAAGTATAATTTGGGCCCCATAGTGTGCATGTTCTGGTGTAATCATATTTCTCTTTTATTTTTCATAGTGCTTTCACATTTGTTATCTCACCTAGTTCTCTCAACAAGTCTATGAGGCAATGCTATACACATTTTACACATGAGGAAACAAAGGTCAAGTTCATGTAGCCAGTGAATGAGTGGCATTCAAGACTCAACTTCAGACTTCAGACTCTTCTATAGCTACATTTGTACTAAAATTTCAAAAAGAGCAAATATTTGTAAAGTGGCTTTATGTTTGCAGGGCACTTCTATATACACCATCTTATTGAATCCTTAGAAGTACTCTATAGTATAGGCAGAGCAAGTATTTTAATCTTCAGTTTATAAGTTACAAAAACTGAAAACCTGAGCCTCAGGCCCTATAGCTAGGTCTCAGGTCAATGGCAGGGACTGGATTTAAAAATGGAACTTTGAAATGCATGTGTCAAACACTTTCAAGGACCCCAGAATCCCTCGTATCCCAGGGCTCTTAGAGATCTCACTATGGGCCCTCACTATGGGGAAAAACATCTCACTATTTTTTATTTTTCCACATTAAAAATATGTGGAAAATACAATCTAAGGTTAAAAAATCCAACCACTAGCTTGGGGTAACCACTGGGTGAAGTATGGCTGAGGTGTTTAAGGTAATAAAATCAGATGGTAGAGACCTTTGTTTTGTTACCTGAGGGCAACCAGCTTTTGGAGATGGGATACAGTGTATCCGAGATTAGAGTCAGTAAGTGAAGGAGATTTTACCCCTTATCTCTGTTCCCTATTCACTGTCTATCCTCATTGTCAGGAAGTTTTTTTTTTTATCTGTAAATGAATTCCCTCTTGCTGCAATTTGAGTCCTTCTCCTCTTGTTCTGCCCCAGGGGAGAGGAACCTGGTTTGCCATCAAACCTTTCCTTTCTGTGTATTTATTCTGCCCTGACTAGAATCTAGTTGCTAGTTGTCTGGGTTTTAGTTTCCTGTATTGCCTGTACACTTGTTCTGAATGATTTTGTAGAGAAAGCCCTTTCCTTTTTGAGAATCACAGTGGTTACTATGAAAGCCATCTTTTGGAAAAAAAAAAAAAAGATTAATTACCACCCAACTTTAGGTAGGATGAATTCCAGTTAGGGTCAGCATATAGGTCTGAGATGACGCGAAGACACAGAGCAGGGCTGGATGCCTTTTGTAACCCAAAGCTGGATGTGGGGAAGGTCTCAGACCAGGCCTTGTGGATATGTCTCTGGTGGTGTGGAGTGTGAGCCAGGACCTGGCTGACGGTGCCTGGGTCTCAGCCCGCAGGGGTTCGCCCTCTCTGTGAGGACTGTGTTCCTGAAGGGAAGTCACCCGGCAACTCCTGATTTGGAATTTTCTCTCCTCCCCACATGGAATAATTTATGGCAAGCCCTAAAATAAGCTCCTTAAAATATCCAAACAATGTTGTTGGTGGTTTTTTTTTTCCTTCCCCCTAAGCATTTTACATCCAGGCCTCCATCAAGCAAATTTCGGATAAAAGGTGATTAGTGTTTTGGCAGGATTTTCATGAGGCTTTCTCTTGTATTCCTGCCAAAAAGCTTGCCAGGCCCAGATTTGATTAAAATGGCAGTGGGCTCTGCTACTTGAATGTAATTAGAACCATTCATTAAAGCTTTTGCTGACAGTTTGGCAACCTGTGCATTTTTCAGAGTATGGCCAGCAGCCCATGGAAACAGCTCAGGGGAGGAGTACTGGCCCACCAGCCCAGGCCAGGCTGAGGAATGGGACATGCTCTATGGCCAGGAGATTTTTGCGTGGCCAGACTGGCATTCACAGCTAGGGAGAGCTCTTTTAATTGGATTAAGGGGGATGGGAGTGCTGCCTTCTCATCAAAACCAAAGCTTAAGCGGGAGGTTTTGTGGTGCCTTTCATAGCGAGTACCATGTGCTTAAGTTCCAGTGACAAGCACCCTTGAACAAACCCATCACATGCACAGAGCTGCGCAAGGTGGTCAGGCACGCCATAGCAATGCCAATGTCCTATTCTTTCTACCTCTGGTGCCTACTATAGGGCCTGATACTGAGTGGATACTCAGTAAATGTTAATGAATAAATAACAGCCAGATGAGAAGCAGAAAAAGAAAATCTTGTTTATTTTGAAATTTGTTTATTAGTTTTCAGAGGTGAGGTCTCCCTGCCCCCAGCCTTGCCCCCTCCAAGCCATTCGCCATGGTGATCTTTGTAAAAGGTGAGTCTGGCCATCTTTCTGCCTAAAACATTTCAGTGGCTCCTGTTATCTTCTGGATGAGGTCCACCGCCCTGAGCATGGTCTTGGCTGCCTCTTGAGCTTCAGCTCTCACCGCCTGCCCCCCTACTCCACCCCCACCTCTCCCCCATCCTTTGCTCTGGGCTCTCTGAATTCCAAGCAGTTCTTGGCATAGTCTAGGAAACTCTCACTTTTGGACAAGTTGCCTCCTCTACCAGAATACTCCCATGCCACTTTATCTTCATCCAGTTCACTTGTGCGTCTTTGGAATTATTGGGTTGGTGCAAAAGTAGTTGTAGTTTTTGCCACTGAAAGCCACTTCTTCCACGAAGTCTTCCGTGTGATACACAGAAGTCTTTCAGAATAATTTTTTGGGCCCTTATCGCTGTAACTAACACAGTCTGTTGATGTGGTCTGAGTCCATATGTCTCAGTCCCACTGAAATGTTCCCTCCCTGAGGGCAGGGACTATGCCTTATTTACCTCTGAATCCTCGGTGCCTAGCACAGGACTTGAATATGGCCAGTGCTCAAAAAGTATTTTTAAATGAGCGAATGGATGTGGCTGAACAGAATGAATATATTAGGTACCCAGTGATTTGATTTGTAGGTCTTACCCTTGTGCAGAGTGACTCCAGTGCCATGGTTTGACCCACAGGTGGTTCATTGATTCAATCCCTTAGCAGGTGGTGAGTGGTGCCTTTAAGACAGCCCATAGAAGGATCAGGAAGGCATGTGCTTAGCTCCGCAAAGGGACCTCATGCTGGGGAATCACAACCTGGTGGGATGGTTTGGTTTGCCCAGCAAATCCCTGCCCTGTCACTGCCTTGATATTGACTCTAGTTTGTGCTTGACTCAGCTCATGGCATTGCTCACCCTGACTCCAAAAAACAGCTTTGGCTTCAGTCTGCCACTCTGTCCTGGCCTCTTTGAATGCTATTTGTCCATTGTTATTCTGGAACTGAAACCCCAAATTATAGTCACACTATACTATGACTTGCAGTCCCATTTCATAGGTTGCATGATGAACTAATGGAAAGGCTGGAAAACATCATGGAGAAAGTCAGCAACACAGCCATGTCTTGGATGCTGGGTGTGTACTATGTGTATCATAGCAACAAGCAAAAGGGCAGAGATGACACTTTTAAGGTTTGTCACCCAAAAGGTTTTAAAGAGCAACTCACAACGGAATTGAAGTGAACTACAAGGTGTTTGAAGTCAACTGCCTTTGGCAATAGTTTTAATTACATATTGTTTCCCCTTTTTGCTAACATTATTCCTGGTCTTTTTAATCTATGGATGGGGGTTTCTGGGATAGCCAGCCTTTGACTTTATCTTCTCTTATTTGATATTTAATGCTTTATTTTAAAAAATGGTGTTTGCCCAATTCATTGAAGCTGGACAAGGGGGAGGACATATCTTAGATCAAATGTCTTTGGCTTCAAGACAGTGGAGGCACCCAGGTCCATCAGGAGCTGCTCTGGTTCTTGCAGACACGTGGTCTTTGTCGCAGAGTTCCCAGCTGAGATCACTGAGTGAGATTTCCAAGGAGGAACAGCTCCAATAGAGCAAAGGTCTTTTGGCCGCTTACTCTGGTTTCTCCAGCTAACACTCTTGCTGATTATCAGATGAAATGGATTGTCTTGTTGATTGGAGGTGGGGAATAAACTGTGAAAAACCTGCTATGCAAAGGAGGTTATGGCATTTAACATACTCCTTTCGGATAGGGCCTGAGATGTCCCTTTGCCTCTTCCCTAATGCTGGCAAGCATCATGAGGTCAATATAATTTGTCTTTCTCTGTATTTTTGCAGTGTTCCAGGAAGTCATGGCAATTGAGAAGGCGTAGGAGGAAGTAAGTACGGTGCTTAAGCATCCAAAACCTGGATCCACTTCTTGCTGGCCGTGTGACCCTGGGGTTTCTTATAGCCTATGTGGCTCAAATCCCTACACGGGGATTTTTAATAGTACCTATCTCCTGTAGGTAGGCTTTCCCCTAAAATTTGCAGTGAGTGGGGCAAGAGTCCAAATGGAGTACTATTACCAATAGTACTCTCTTACCCAAGCCCTATCTCTTATACTTTGAAGGGCCTAGCACATAGCTTCAAGCATGCACAGACGCACACACACACACACCCCTTTGCCTTCTGTAAGCAGCATCTCCTTAGAAATCCTGTGGCCCAGGATATACACACCAGCAGAGCAATGTATCTTGTGTGAACGATCTGTTTGGCCCTGGAAATAGATTTAAGAATGTTCAAGCTCTGAAGTCCACGATATTTGAGGGTCACAATTCCTTGGCTTATTGAATCCTTGGCTTTGTAGGCTCCTCAACCCATGAGAAGGAAGACAGAGCAGGCACAGAGTAGATCTATTAAAGTGTGAGGGCCAGAGCAAGGACTCCGATTTACCCAGCACTACTCATCATGTCATAATCAGTATCGAGATACTAATGCTTAGAATAATGCCTGGTCTACAGGAAGCATTCAGGAAGCATTAGCTGGTAGCAATATTATTATTTATCTCTTGAGTATCACAGAAACTGTTGGTGGTGGAGGAATGGAGCTCATGATTGATGTAGACCTTTACATCACAGAGAAGCAGATAGAAGAGGGATTAGAGAAAGGCCGATTGAAAAGATAATTTTCATCTCATCCATGGCCACAAATGTGAGTGTGCAAACCCACTTGAGAGCCCTGGGTCCATGACAAAAAAAAAAAAAAGAAATGATATGAGAATATAGGACAGAACATCTCATTGGAGTGCAAATAGCATGGCTCTGGCAAAAAGAAACTCAGAGTGGTAACTGGGTCGTTTCCTAACCTGAGTCTTAAGGGCAGGTCCTGGCTCTGTGGCTATATTAGTTTGTTTTCACATAGCTACAGAGAAATACCTGAGACTTGGTAATTTATAAAGAAAAGAGATTAATTGGGTCACGGTTCTGCAGGCTGTACAGGAAGCATAGCAACTTCTGCTTCTGGGGAGGCCTCAGGAAGCTTCCAATCACAACAGAAGGTGAAGGGGGAGCAAACAGTCTCATATGGCGGGAGCAGGAGCAAGAGAGAGTGAGTCGGGGAGGTGCTGCACACTTTTAAACAATCAGATCTTGCTATCATGAGAACACCACCAAGGGGACGGCGCTAAACTGTTCATGAGAAATCCACACCCATGATCCAATCACCTCCCACCAGGCTCCACCTCCAACATGAGGGATTACAATTTGACGTGAGATTTGGTGGGACACAGATCCAAACCGTATCAGTGGTAAACAGCTCTACAACTTTGAGTGAATCAGTTCACTTCTTTGAGCTTCAGTCTCTTCACCTACAAACTGGGGATGAGGATGCCTATTGTACCTACCTCACTGGGCAGTTGGGAGGATCAGCTGAGATGATGGAGTCTCATGGCACCCTCTGAACATGCTGAATTGTTCAGCATGAGGCTGCTGTTGTCTGCATCATTCTTGAAGGCCTTGGTCCTGATGCACTCATGATCCAGAGGAAGCAATAAGGAGAGCCTCTGGGATGTGAATCATCTGGTGGAAGAGGCTGGGGATGCTAGGTCTCTGTTGTGCCCTAGGGTGAGACTGCACATAGGTACAGTTCATGACAGTGGAGGATCAGAGGAGACTCTACAAGCTTGAAAGCTTCTTCCTGCCAGCAGAGCACCTCTCCAGGGCCCCAGGGTAGGAGAGGGGACAAGGGAGGCTTCACATCTAGTCCATGGCTTGGTTCATAAGGATGTTTCTGGACCTTCTAAAAAAGCCACCCAATCCCCAAGTCAGGGAGGACCCTCTAAATCCTCTCACATCTTGAACATGACTTGATTCTCTTTATGCCTGGGTGATCTTGTTGATAGCAGTTGGCTCGGTAGCTCTGCTTTGAAAACCTAGTCCCATTCAATTTTAGGAGGAAGATGTGTGTGTTGGGAGGGCAAGATGACATATACTTCTTCTGAATTTTCAGATGAGCACAACAGTTCTATTTTTATTATGAAGAACAAATCATATATATTCTATATATATTCTAAATATATACTCATATTTAAGTTATAAATTATCTAGATATGTATATATTTATATATAGATATAGATATGAATTATCTAGACATTTATCTAAGCTTGGAAAAATGTACATTGGAGAACCACATAATTCATTAAAAAGAGAATTTGAATTTTTTTAACTTTATTTTTATGTTATTTTGCCTTTGTATAGCAATTTTACTTTGGAATTCCATTCTAAAAGGATAAGGCTACTGATTGCAACATCATTTATGTATATAATAGCAAACACTAGAAATAGTATCAATATTGAACCATGGACAGTGGTTAAATCATGATATTTTATTAGAATGAAATTCATAGAGTCATTAAGAATAATGTTGTAGAAAATATTAATTGACATGAGAAGTCACTCACAATATATTGTTGAGTGAAAAAAAGATTATAGGTTATGATACCGTTTTTGTCTACTCAATGTATACCCAGAGAGAGAGACAAAGTCTGGAATGGATTCAACAAAATGTTATCAGTGATTTGTCTTTGGGTGCTAGATTAAAAACTATTTTTTTCTTTTTGTTATATGTATTTTCCAATTTTTCTACAATGAAAAGAAATCACATTTATAATAATTTTAAAAAGTTATAAATCAGAACTGTGCCGCCTGGAGTTTAGCACAAACACGGGGCTCCAACTGGGGCTTTGCCATTGCCAAGGAAAGCGGAGAAACCAACTGTTTGGTTTCACACATGACGCTGGTGAGGCTGCAGCCAAGGGCAGCATTTGTGTATGAGTGTGACCATTGAGACCAATGCCCGGGAACCTGATCGTCACTCACGCCCACGTCCTTTCCATACTGTTCCCAGTCTGGTTAAGATGCTGCTCGAAAGATGCATTTTTTTCTCTCAGCAGAGAGAAGTCTGAATCTAATTGGGTCCTTTGCTAGCTACACCATGCATTTGCACCAATATTTATCCCATCTGTTCCGAGAGTCTGCTCCCCATTACTTACCAAAACTGTCAATGGCTCCCCATTATTTACAGATTCTTTGGCCTGGCATGCAGGGGCTTGTGAGGTCTGCTCCCAGCCTACCTTCCCAGCCACCTCTCCTTTCAGCTCCTTTCAGGTACTTTCTGCTCTAGCCAGCTTGGACTGCTCACCATTTTCTAGTGACTCATTTAGGAGGCTTTCAACCACCGTGATCAGAAACCCAAACTAACTTCTACAGAAAGGAAATGTATTTTTGCATTCTCTCATGTTCCAGGGATTCCAGAGGATAGGTGGGCCACAGGGATGATTGAATCAGCAGCTCAGGGATGTCAGCAAGGACCCCCACTTCTCTGCTCTGCCATTCCTAGTGTTAAATTCAACCTCAGGCCAGAAGCAATTGGCTGCAGCAGTTCCAAGCATCCCGTTCAAGCATGGAGATGCCTTGAAGAGAAAGGCATTGTCTTTCCTGTGGTCTTCTCCTGGGATAAGAAAACTTTTCCAAAAAGCCTTTCTAAAAACCTCTCCCACACAGCTCCTTGGCCAGAATCAGAACACATGGTATTCCCAAACTGCTCACTGGTGTAGTGAATGGCATTAACTTTAGTCTAGGGAAGAAACACATCCCTAAACAAATCATTCAAAAGCAAGGCATGAGGTGATGAGTGCCATAGAGAGGCACTCACAGTGAGCTGTGTAAATGTGGGGCATCAGGGAAGCCTTCTTGGAGAAGGGAGCTCTCCAATTATTTTGTATTCACTACAAACACTCTACTTAACCAACCCCCTGCTATGGGACATGTAAGTTTTTTCTAATTGTTCCATATGACAAAACATCCAGGCGGTCAAACTTTAATTTATTTTCAATCATTTGTATGGGATAAAATTTTAGAAGTAGAATTATAGCTAAGACGAAGTGTATGTATATCTTTTCTTTTCTTTTCTTTTCGTTTCTTTTCTTTTTTTTTTGAGGCGGAGTCTCACTCTGTAGCCCAGGCTGGAGTGCAGTGGTGCGATCTCAGCTCACTGCAAGCTCTGCCTCCCAGGTTCACGCCATTCTCCTGCCTCAGCCTCCCCAGCAGCTGGGACTACAGGTGCCCGCCACCACACCCGGCTAATTTTTTGTATTTTTAGTAGAGACGGGGTTTCATCGTGTTAGCCAGGATGGTCTAGATCTCCTGACCTCATGATCCGCCCGCCTCGGCCTCCCAAAGTGCTGGGATTACAGGCGTGAGCCACTGCACCCAGCAAAGTGTGTGTATATTTTAGGAAACACACACGCGCACACACACACACACAGAGACACATACATATTTATCCCTTTTTAGGTCTCAACTATGTAAATGCATCATAGTTTATTCAATCAATTATTGGACAAAAGGATATAGAAAATTATACTGCAGTGAGTAGCCCTGTGCATATCTCTTCTGGTATTTTTGCCACTATGTCTTTGGGATAGATTCCTAGAAGTGGGATAGCTGGGTCAAAGGGTAAATGCATATATGATTTTGATAGATATGGCCAAATTCCCTTTTGTAGTGATTATATTATGTCATTTTATATTCCCACCAGCAATGCATGACAGTGCCTGTTTCACTAATCTTGTCAGTCGTCAAACTTTTGGAATGCTATCTCAGTGTCCTATTCATTTGTGTTTCCCTTATTGTAAGTTATATTGAGCATCTTTTCATATGATCAAGAGCTATTTGCATTTCTTTTTCTATGCCAGTCTGTACATAGCTCTTGCTCATTTTTCTATAGGTTGTTGCTCTTTTTAGTCTCTCTTTTTAGAAGTGCTTTATATATTAGGATTGCCCTGTTGTCTGTGATACAAGTTGTTAATGTTTCTTTTTCTTCAGCTTGTCATTTGCCTTTCACTATTTTTTGGTGTGTCCTGCTATGCAAAATTTAATGATTTTTAATTTTTGTATAGTCAAATCTATCGATCTTTTTCTTATGGCTTTTGGATTTTGAGTCATAGGGTAAAACCTTTCCCCATTCCTAGGTTATGGAAGGACTGACCCATACTTTTAATACCAATATGGTTTCTTTTTTCCCTCCTTCCTTCCCTTCTCCCTCCCCTCCCCTCCCCTCCCCTCCCCTCCCCTGCCCTGCCCTCCCCTCCCCTCCCCTCTCCTCTCCTTCCTTCCTTCCTTCCTTCCTTCCTTCCTTCCTTCCTTCCTTCCTTCCTTCCTTCCTTTCCTCCCTCCTTCCCTCCCTCCCTCTCTCCACGTTTAAATCTCTGATCCAATTAGAATTTATCCTAGTGCATGATGTGAGGGATGGTTCAAATTTTATCTTTTTCCATCTGGCTATCCATTTATTCCAAATCATTTTTGCACTACTGATTTGTTTCATCATACATTAAATTTTCTTATGAAACTGGGTTGATTTCTGGAGTTTCTATTCAGTTCTATTGCTTTATTTGTATGCCAATACGACACATTTAATGATAGAACCTTTAAAACATGTTTTAATATCTGCTAGGGCTAGCCCCATTCTCCACTTGTGCTTCTTTTCCAGAGATATCCTAATTACTTTTGCTTACTTGCTTTTGAAATGAACCATATAATCAACTTGTTAAGCTCCAGAAGAAAAAAAAATATTTTTATTAGGATCACAATAAATTTGCAATTTAATTTAGGGAGAATTGACATCTTTCTGAATTTGAGACTATCTAACCAAGAATATTATTTTGTTTATAAAATTTTGTGTGTGTGTCTTTGGAGAATGTTTTCACTTTTCTCGTAAGGTTTTAGACATTTGTTAGATTTATGTTAGGTGTTGGTGTAAATAGGCCTTATCTTCCATTTTATTTTCTAACCAGTTTATGTTTGTAAACATGAGGTTACAACTTTTCTATAAAACATTTTATTTTTATATAATTCCAGGCGTATAGAAAATCCAAAAAATTGTGCAAGGCACGTACATATATGCCTTTACCCAGGTTCAGTCATTGTTTACATTTTGACCCATTTGTTTTATCATTTCTCTCTTTCTCTCTCTCTCTCTCTCTCTCATATATATATATATATATATATATATATATATATATATATTTCCCCCAAACCATTTGAAAGTTAGAGATATTGTGTTCTTTTACCCCTAAATACTTCAGTGTGTATTTCCTAAGCACAAGAACATTTCTTTTATAATCACAATATAGTTTTCAAGTTAATAAAATTTAATATCATACTCTACTATTTAATCTGCAACTGATATTTAACTTTAATCAATTGAACCAATAATGTTGCTTATCCTCTTTGCCTCCTCTTCCCCAGCTCAGGATCTATTTCAGGATCATGCAATGCATTCTGTTGTCATGTCTCTTTACTTTCTTTACTCTGGAACAGTTCCTTGGCCTTTCTTGACTTTGACATTTTTGAAGAGTATGGACCAGTTATTTTGTAAAATATGCCTCAGTTTGGATTGAGATGCAGTTTATTCATGTTTAGATTCAGGAAAAGCTATTGATTTCCATATGTTGAATTTTTAAAAAATAAATGCTGTTTATTTGGTAGACATTTGCTTTCTAAAAATGGCGTCCAAAACCCCCCATAAAATCAACAAAGGATTTCTTGGTTGTAACAAGGTTGATGCCTCTCAATAGAGTGTAGTCTCCTCATTTTTTGGGTCTGATATTCTGGAAAAAGACTATCAGGGGGAATGAATATATTGATTTTCATAATGTGCTACTAACTACATTATTCTATTATCTGTGGTAAGTTTTTTTCTAAATTCCCTTGGGTTTTCTACATATAGAATCAGACCATCTGCATATAGAGGTTGTCTTACCTCTTCCTTTCCAATTCTCATGTCTCTGTTTGTTGTCAGAAATCTATAGGGGTATTTGGATTTTGGCCTCTAGTTAATGCTTAATTATTTTCTGATGGGCTCTGACTGCTGATTTACTGCTTGAGAGGGACTGAATATTTCCAGGAGAAATTTGCTTTTCCTATAGGGTGTATATAGGCAGGCAGTGGTGGTGGCTGGTAAGATGGTGAACACTGTGCTTATCCAAATCCCCAAATAAAACAGAATTCAATGGGAGAAGAGTAGGATTATTTGCTACAAAGCACGGAGATGTGTTCTGTAATCATGGAAACATTCAGTGAGGGCGCACTGTGTGCTACAGCTTGTGCTAGGCAGTAGATTACCATTTGGGGGAAAATTCATTTATACTCCATTTCATATCAGAGGTGAATTATTCCGGATGTAGTAAATGGCCAAATATATAAGAATTCAATCAAACACAAACATATAAGCAAAAAACATAAAATTTCTGGTGTTTAGGGGAAAGCAAGGAAGGTTACAAATGATTGCAGGAATCACAAGAACAAAGACTGGCAGATTTTACCACATAAAAATTAAAATTGTTTTTGCATAACCAAAATGGAAAGGCAAACTATCAGATAGGGTAAGAATAAAGAGTTAATATTTATTTGGAAGAAATACACATTAGAGCCTTAATGAGGTATAGTATTTTGCTTATTAACGCTAATGTGTGTGTGTGTGTGTGTGTGTGTGTGAAAGACAGAGAGAGAAAGAGGGAGAAATGTTACTTATAAATGTAAAACTACATGGCTATACTGAAAACCAAAAGGAAAAGTTCAAAGGAGCAAGAATGAGAAAGAACCTTGAGTGGTCAGGAAGGGATGAAGCCATTTGGCCAATGAAAGCTGGTACAAGGGCTGGGGTGTGAAAGCCTGCAGAGAAGCAGGAGTTGAGCTTGCCTCAGGCTTGGTGGGGAGGTACCCACTGTCAGACCACATTGCCACATAGTTCAAACCAGTGGTTCTCAAAGTGTGGTCCCTGAAGCAGTGGCATCTGCATGGCCCAGAAATTTTTTACAAATGCAAATTCTTGGGTCACATCCCAGACCTACCGAATCAGAAACTCTGGGGATGGAGTCCAGCAATCTGTTTTTTAATGAGGTGATTTCATTGCATGCTAGAGTTTGAGAACTGCCAACTTAAACTTAGCTCAGAGAGGAGATTTTAATAATTACTATTAATTTCATGAATTTATTCAACAAGTATTTATTGAGTGCCTGTTGTGTGCCAGGCATTGTTCTAGGCTCTAGGGATACAGAGGGGAACAAGACCATTAAAGTCCTCATTTTAGTAGTATATCATAAGCTTTTAGCATCTTCTTCCAGTAGTTCCCATGTGTCTTGTATTATTTAATTATTAAATATCTGTCCAGTTGGTCAAGGCCTATATCCTGAGCATTCTCCTTTTCTTCTCACATGCCACCCCAGGAAATCTTGTTGCCTCTTCCCTCAAAATACATCCAGAACTTGTCCTCTTTTATCACCTCCACCGCCCTGACCTTGGCCCAAGCCTCTATTATCCACAATAATTGAGGTAAGTGATGATGGAGGTAGGAGTCAGAGTAGGAGAGGAGGGGAGGGTGGCAGTGGAGATGTGCTTCAACACAGCCACTAGAATGATCTGCTTAGAATCCAAGTCCTATTGTGACACGCCTCTGCTGAATACCTGTGTGACTCTGTATTTCACTCAGAATAAAGCCTCAGTTCTTCAAGTACTCAGAGTAAAGCCCAAATCCTTCCTATCATACAAAGGTCTCCAAGACTGTGTGTGATATTCCTTCGTCCAGCCCAACATCTACACAGAAGCCACTGGACTCTCCCTGCCTTGATGTTTCTTTAACCCCACAGGGAGGCTCCCACCTGACAGCCTTTGCACTGGCCAATTCCTCTGTCTTTTGAACACTTTTTTCTCAAATATCCACATGGTGAATTCACTGACCTTCAGGCCTTGACTCAGATGCGACCTTCTCAATGGCCTGGACCGTCTTATTTAAAAGTATCATCTCATGCTCATTGCTTGCAGTCCTTGTTCCCCTTACCCTGCTCATTGTTGTTCCCACAGCACTGAGATTCATAGGTGTGACACAATTTACACTTATGCTTTGCCTGTCTCCCTCCCTTAGAAAGAAAACTTCCTGAGGACAGAGATTTGTCTATTTTGTTCTTGGCCCTAACCCCAGTGCTGAGAACATGGTTTGGCATGTAGTAGCCTCTTCATAAACATTTGTTGAATGAATACATTGTTTGATGTTGTGTGTTGCTATTTTATGATATTTTCTGGCAATTTATCTCAGGTTCGCAGGAATTGTTTATTATGTATCAATTTGACATCTGCAACTGTTTACCTTACTTAAGTTTGGGATTGATTCCCTTAGATTTTTAGAAGGTGATCTTCTCTTTTCCTTTTCTATGGGAATTTCTTTCCATGAGCATCTCTAATTATAGAGTATCTCTAATCTCTATTAAAAACTACAATATCCTGTTTTTTAGAGGGGGCATGCCCTTCTATGGTTTCTCCATTGAGATTAATATTAAATTGTTTATATATAATGTGTTTTTCTGTGTGTGTGTATCCATTCTGAGTCTTCAGAAATCTAAAAAGACAGAAGTATAAAAAGACCAAGCCATGGCTTTGTGTGTCTTCTGAGAAGCGCTGTGGTCTGCTAGATATATCTGAGCTACTCAGGTTCCAGCTGCCTCCATCTCACTGGAAGTTCGAGCTATTTCCCACCTCTGGAACAGGTTTCCCTCATTGGCAAAATGTGAACCAGGACGAACTCATCCAAAGAAGGCTGTTTCCACTGTTCTAATACAGCCACAAAACCCAGTTTTTGCTGCTTTGTCTATTAATGTGATAGATTAGGCTAATAATTTTCCTCTTGTTGAATCAATTTTGAAGAAAGAAATGACGATGGAAAGATCATGAGATTTTTGAATAGAAAGAAGCTGGATTAAAATCTAATTTCTCCCAGATAAGCTATGAGATTTAGAGTCTCAATGTCATCTTTTGAAAGGGGAGATACTTATCTAAAATATTGATTGTGACAATTAAATGAGATTGTAAATATGAAAGAGCTTTGCAAACCATAAGATGCCATGAAAACTATTATTGTTGTTATTATTATAACCAAAAATATAAAGCCTTACTAAATTAATTGTACTCTATCAGTATTACTAATTGAAAAAGAACATGAGGCTTTTTCTGCTATTCTTTTTTTTTTTTTTTTTTGAGACAGTGTCTTGCTCTGTTCCCCAGGCTGGAGTACAGTGGTGTGATCACAGCTCACTGTAGCCTGTATCTCCTGGGCCCAAGCAATCCTCCTGCCTCAGCCTCCCAAGTAACTGGGACTACAAGTGCACACCACCACACCTAGCCAACTTCTGAAAAAAAAAAATCTGTAGAGACAGAGTCTCTCCCATCTTCCATGTTGCCCAAGCTGGTCTCAAACTCCTAGGCTCAAGCGATCCTCAATTGGGTTTCCCAAAGTGCTCAGATTACAGGTGTGAGCCATTGCACCCAGCTTTTTCTGCTATTTAACCTATCATGTGTCATTTGAAAATGTCTGGATGCCAAGCAACTCCCTCAATATCCACTGCTGAAATCTAAATAATCAATATCATCAATATGCTTACTAGAATGTTATACTTTCTGATATCTCCTGTGACCCTATCATAAGAAACGAGGGCATCTACATTTCGGCAGTTGCTGTACCCAACACACAGAAACACTTAGTACTAATTAACCATTGGTTGACTTTCTGACATGGCTATTGGCATTTCTTGGTACTTGGGTGAGGAAGTAACAATATTATATTGACTGTACCTATCATTCACTGCGTTTTTCTTTTCCATACAAGTTGGCAGATGTATTTTCATTAAAGGTGGTGGTGGTGACTCTGAGGCACAACATGTGAAAATATCTTTAAAAGATAAGCATCTATAGTGGAAATACCTTTGAAATGAGCACCAGAGAACCTGGTTTTCCTAATCCCAACTTCACCACTAGTTGAGAGAACCTGAGCCAGTCTCTTAACACATTTACCTCAGTTGCTTCACTTCTAAAAGAAGAGATTTAGAAAATATGTCAGGAGCCTTCCTAGCTCTAAAAGTCTATGATTCTAGCTAATGGAATGAAATCTTAACACTTAGAAAACCCCTAAAGCCACCCAAATAATAGTTAATACGATTTAAAAGACAACACAGTAATATCAATCTAAGACAGATTAAAGCAAAAAAGAACTCTTACTACATTTAAAAAGTAATTAGTTGGAAAAAGGCACTACATGCAAAAACTAAGACCCAGCTACAACCTGAGAGCTGTTAAAACCGTTGGCTTTCAATACTATTAAGGGCTGAAAAGAAAACAAAAAAGCTAATTAAATTCTGAGCTTTCTAAAGGTAAAACAAATTCAGCATCACAGTGAACCACATTTTAAACAGCGCACAGACATTAGAATCAATCTAGTGCCAACTCATGTAATGCAGGCAGTAGAGGCTACCGGAGCTATCTGTGCCTGCCCTTGGAATCCCACGTGACATTTCAAAAAACACTGGGCACTGGGAGCTAAGTGCATCTGGGAAGCTGAGTGCTGCTTGGCAGAAGTCCCCAGGCTGAGTGCCTTGGGCAGAAATCCCCCAGTTTAGCAGGAGCCCAGAGCTTACACAAACTCCTGCTGGTCACTGGTCAGAGGGAAGGGGTATCAGACACAGTTGACCCCAAAACAATGTCTCCTCTCCTGAGTGATCAGAATGGGACATGCTGACCGCTCCACATACCTGTTAGGTTTGGAACTCACAGCTGCTCATTTCCTGGCAGTTGATAAAAGCCTGGAGCAAATATGTCTGAGAAGAGCTTAGGCAATGTGTAAGAATGCTTGATCTAAGCCCTTTGACAGCCTGGAGAGATGCTGAGAATGTCTCACACAGCTCGTTAGCATGGAATCTGTAGGCTTTCCATTTTGCATCTAGGTTTACAAAGTGGTTACCTATGAATAAGAAGTAGGAAAACAAAATGAGACAAGCTGACAAAACAACTTGAGTCAACACCCTGATTTATCTTGAGGGACTATTCTCTCTTCCACCCCAATGGTACTTCCTACCTCCTAGTTACCTTTTATTTGGATGTAGATTGGACTATGTATTGGGTAGAGAGATAAATCTCAAGGATATAGCAATCATTCATTTGTTTAACAAATATTTATTGAGCATCTTCTATGTGCCAGGCAGTAGCCTAGGCCCTGGTGAACTTTATGAAACAGGTTTCTGGAACACCCATTATTATTAAACACTCTCATTAAATTATGCTTGTTCTAGTGTGAATATCTGTAACAGACACAAACATGCAACACTTCAAATGAATTCACAATGCATTTGTACTTTGCTGCGAACATGTCCAGTGTAGATTAGAGAAACTTCCTTTGAATATTATAATTTAAAAATTTGAATTCAGTATTTGTTGCCCAAACCACATGATTACAACATTGAGAGAAATCGAGATGTTCTTATGGGACTTTCTAACAGATGTTGAAGGGAGATTTGACATAGTAAGTGGGGGAACACGTATGGATATTTGCTTAGAGTGTTCAGAAAAAGCATCCTCGATAAGTGATGCTTAAACTGAGCTTCAAGTAGAAATGGAATTGGCCAAGAAACGGCGTGAAGGAGAGAGCCTTCCAGGGAGAGGGAACAAGAAGCGCAAGGGCACAGCTTTCAGAGGAGAGCAACAGAACAAGTGTCACATGAAGCAGAAGAGTGAAGGAGAAAAAGGGGAGATGTGGGTGGAAAGCAGATGATGGAGGCAGCAGAATGATGGGGTAACATCAGATTTTTATTTTTAAAAGACTACATTGGACTTCTGGTAAAAAGTCTGTTTACTATAGTCTCCAGTGTGTAACCTATTAAAATAATCCACGGAACATAAAGCAGAAAAGAAAAATGCATCTAGAAGAAATATAGCTAGAGCTACAAGTACCAATCAGACTAGAGAGAATATCTGCCAAATTGGTGAATTTGGAATCAATTTGAAGAAGAATGCTGAGAGATGATACATAACCCTCCAGATTTCAGGCATGGTCCAGATTTCTCTAAAAGTAAATGAGATGGGCCTCCAGTTGTGAGTTAGGATTTTCTGCGAGCCAGACATACCTCCTGTGTGGGTGGTCTGCTTATCTGAAATGGGCAAACAATGAAAATTAGAAAAAAGACTATCTCTGAATATATTCAGAAAGAATGACCCAGGACAGACACTGTCAGCATTTCAGATCACTCCTTTGCCCCAGCCATGCAGACCACTCTTGAGCAAGTAGCAGCCTCTGGTAGAATGACCCCATTCTCAAGGGAGAGGTAAATTTAAAAGACCCACTATGGTACCTATGCATAGAAACTATGAAAACGAAAAGAATGAAGGAAGTTAAAAAGTGAAAACCAGATGAGGAATTTATATCTGACATGGAATTATTCCAAGCTATGAAGAAAAATTACTGCAGAATAGAGAAGAAAATTCCAGATAAATATTTGTTAAGGCTAGGTGTGGTGGCTCACACTTGTAATCCCAGCACTTTGGCAGAATGAGGTGGAAAGATTGCTTGAGGCCAGACGTGTGAGAGAAGCCTGAGCAACACGCAAGAACTCATCTCTACAAAAAAATATAAAAATTAGCCAGGCATGGTAGTGTACACCTGTAGCCCCAGCTATTTAGGAGGCTGAGGTGGGAGGATGACTTAAGCCCAGGAGTTCGAGGTTGCAGTGAGCTATGATTGTGCCACTGCACTCCAGCCTGGGTGACAGAGAGAGACTCTGTCTCTCTAAAAAATAAAAATAAAAATACTTGTTCCACCCTTTAAGAAGTTAAAAAGAACATGGCACCTTTGAAAAAAAAACAGAGAGATAAAGACTCAAGGAAGAGATTCTAAGATAGCCAAAGGAGAAAAAGTGAGCTGGCAATGTTTAGGAAAAAAACTGAAAACTACAATAAAACCACTATAGAAAAAGAAGTCACTTTAGAAGCTGCAATAATCAGATTCAAGAGCTCAAGGAGAGGCTTGAGTAAATTAAAGAAGCTGTAAAGATGTATATAAATTGTTAGAAAGAAAAATGATGGTCATGGAAGATAAAGGCCAACCAACATAAGCATAGCAATGTTGCTGGAAAAGAACAAACACATAAGACATAAATGCATTGAAGGATATCATAGAAGAAAACTTTCCTATAATAAAGCAAAAGCTGAACCTGCAGGTTAAGAGAACTGAATCCAGAAAGGAAAAAAAAAGACAGAACCAAATAACCCTTAGATATATGTTGAGTTACTAAGCTTCGAAGACAATGTTATATCTGCAATTTTTATTCCATATAAAGAATTCCATGTAAGAACCTCAAGCTTGTCTCTGATTTCTCCATTGTAACATTTAATCTCAGAAGACAATGAGAAACTGTATGCAAAATTCTTTTAGGAAGTTTTACCTAAACATTTTGTATTCATTAAATTATAATTTATGTATGAAGATAAAAAGCAGACATTCTTTAAAAAAAAATCCAGGAACTATAGCAGCTATGAGCCCTTCTTAAAAAAAATCTACTTGCTGACAAAATCTAACTCATAGTCTCAGGAAAATGACCACAGTCAGTGGTATTGATTTTTTCTTGATATGACCCTGTGCTCATTTATTTAATAATAATATTAGTAGTAATAGTAGTAACAACTACCATTTATTTGATACTTTCTAAATGCTAGGCACTTTCTAATTTACTTATTTTCTTAATCAACCCTTATAGCACCCCATAGAGTAGTATTCCTAATCACCCCATTTTATAGTAGAAGAAACAGTTTTAGAGCTAGTATGCAGCCAACTCACATGATGATTTCTTCATTTTCTGGCCTCCACTTATGTCTCTTTTATCACTTTAATCTGTGTCTTTTTGCTATGCATTCTGAGATTGCCTCAGGCTTATCCTCCACATTACAGATCTAATTTTCTGCAAAATTAGTGCTGTCCTTTACTGCTTCTGCCAATTATCAAATTATTCTGTAGCATTATCTTTACATATATCCTTTCATTAACTACCTTATTATATATTAACATATTGTTTTACCATCTCATCTTTCATTTCTTGTTTCTTAGAAGCTTTGCTCTTATTTCATCAAGGGTATAAGGCAGATGCTCTCCAAAATGTACTTCTATGGCCTGAGAAAAATGTGTATTTTAGGAACAACCTTTTTCTATCTCTGAGTGTTACATTTATCCTCTAAGTTGTAGGAGATATTTTATAGCCCTTCTGTGGACTGTGTGTGTGTGTGTGTGTGTGTGTGTGTGTGTGTGTGTGTATGTGTGTGTGTTTATATCTGAATATTTGGTCCTATATTTGCCCAAAATTAAGGCAAGTGAATTCTCCTTAGGTCTTACTTGGATGAATCTAGAATCCTTAAGTCTTTAACTGGAGGGCTGGTTGATTGTAGTCCTCATTCAAGGATGCAGCAGCCTATGGGTAGGAGGGATCTTGTACAAGGCGAAGTTTATGTTAACAAAACTTGCACCCAAATCTCTGTCTGCCTTAGCCTTCAATCCATGAAGGCAGAGTGTCTGTGACCGACAGCCTGCTTGTATTTCTGTCTTCCACATCAGGGAAAGCTGGCCATATCAGAAAAGAGCAGAGCCATTTAAGAGAGACTCCTGCTCAGAGTGAAACCCTGCTGTCTTGGGTTTTCTGCTGAGTGCAACAGGTTTCTCCTGGGCTGCCAGTACAGCTGATTCCCAAAGATTTTTCTATGGCATCAAGTGCATTTTCAAAGTGAAGTGGTCCCTGCTCTCTGGTGGCCGTGTCTGTCCTCCAGCCTTCACCCTTCACAAATTGGGGCTGTCCTTTGCCTTGGAGACTTTCTTCAATGAGGTGTCCAATTATTCCATTTGAAGATTAGAAATTACTCAAAATTCATAATGTGGCCAGGGTGCAGTGGCTCATGCCTGTAATCCCAGCACTTTGGGAGGCCAAGGTGGGTGAATCACCTGAGGTCAGGAGTTTGAGACCAGCCTGGCCAACATGGTGAAACCCCGTCTCTACTAAAAATACAAAAATTAGCTGGGTGTGGTGCTGGGTACCTGTAATCCAGCTACTCAAGACACTGAGGCAGCAGAATTGCTTGAACCCCGGAGGTGGAGGTTGCAGTGAGCAGAGATTGTGCCATTGTACTCCAGCCTGAGTGACAAGAGTGAAACTCCATCCCCGCCTCCACCAAAAAAAAAAAAAAAAAAAAAATTCATAATGTGGTTGAGACCCTTCTCTAGTATTGACAAGTGTTGTTATGCGCCCCATTTAAAAATTGTTCATGTGATAATTTCACTTGTTTTCTTAGGGGAGCCTAATGTTTCTATACATTGCAATATTTTCCCTCCATCCCTTATGCCCATATTTCAGCTTTTGACACCTGCTCCTGGTCTCTCAGTTGTGGCCTCATCAGATGTTCTTCTTTGGCTCTTTGGATTCAAATCCACATGTGGCTCCTTGTTCAGCCCAGCTTCCTAATGCCAGGATGAGCTGCTCTTGAGGGGAAAGTCCTCAGCCAACCACATTTCAGTGACCCCTTTAACTGGATATTTCTGTCTTGGCTTCCATTCAGGGTTGGAAAGTTTGGACAGATCTCAATAGTTTATTGGGATCTCCGTTTTTCTTACATTTTGGATAAAATCTTTATTTGACATAGATCTTAATCCTTTATTGGCTTCAATTATTTATCCCTTATCTGTTCTCTTTCCTTTTTTTAAATGAAAGTGTTCAACTGAGTTTTCAGATGCTTTGTGACCTAAAAGGGACTGGGATCTGGTAGGAATCAAAGTTAATTTAGAATCTGAAAGCTCATGCCTATATTTCCTTGGCAGAATTGAAAGTGACTAAAAGATTCTGTCAGTGTGATTCAACCCAGCTATTTTGTAAAGCCCCGGGCATGGGTAATGATGGGGGCGGACACCCAGAAATAGCAGCCTCGTCTATCATGGATGCAACTTATCAAAGGCCACAGTCAATGAACAAACCCGCTCTACTTATGTCTACTTCTGCTAGAGTCAAGACATGCCCACAGATAAGGAGGGAGTTTTCTCAGGATAAGGTCAGAGTGAAACAACCTCCATCAGAGGAAAAGCTGATTCCTAAGAAGGGGGAAAAACAAGCTAATGTTTTATGTAAAAGACAAAACTGGAAGGTATTGGGCCCTATATATAGCTGCTTCTCTGTTAGAATTGCCCCAGAGTTATGCTGGGATTCCAAGAAGAAGTGATTCACCCATTCCGGTAGCCTCAGGGCTCTGGACCAATGGTCAAGGCGGGAATGTGATGAGTGATCAAGCACTCTGTAGCACCTTGCTTCTCTCTCAGGGCTTTGGCTGCATTCCCAACATAGGCATCTGAATATATGATAGAGAAAGATGTCTTCTGAACACCAAAGGACTGCTCTGTTCAGCTGGCCAGGAGAAACAGCTATTTGGCGTGTAAGGAGGACAGTGATGGGGGAGCTGATCTGAGCTGGGGCAGCTGATGTGACATCAGCTTTGGCAGGGGAGGTGCTGACAGCAGTGGTTGGGACATGGAATTGTGTTGACAGAAGTTGAATCAGCAGACACCAGAGCAGCAGGCAGGAGCTTGCATGAGTTGTCCCAGATACAACATTCCTCTCCCTGTGAACGTCCAACATGCATAATGTCTAGCTAGTACTAGAGTAAAGACAAATCGATGCCACCCACTACCAATGGAGGAAACCAGCAGCTGGCTCTCTAGCTTCGCTGCTTGCAAACTGCCTTTCAGAACCCAGCCATTCATAAGTAGTAGAATTTCTGTGTTCAGGCACACACACACAAAAAAAGGAACTACTGGCATTTTCATTACAGGTAGTCATTCATTTGGCAGCCACCATTTCTTTAAATGTAAGATACTTCTGATTGTAAGATACACAATTATTTCACCCACACTAGGAAAGAAAAATGCTGCCAAATAAACTATGACATATGAATGATTGAAAGATGGATCCTGATTTCAAATTTGTAAAAATAGGAAAAAATATGCATCTTTGAGCTGGTAAAACACAGTGTGCATCAGGCACTGGGCTAGGCATTGAACATAGGGCTGCAGACCAGATAGATATCAAGTCTGGCCTCAAGCAACGTATAGTCTGGTGGGATGATGGATGTTGACAAAGCAATTACAAGTGTGTTGCAGGGCCTGGAAGAGCATGGGGTCTTCTCCAAGGAAGTGACATGAAAGCTGAGACCTGATGGGGAGCAGGAGTTAGCTAGGTGAGGGTAAAGGTAGAATTTTCCAGGCAGAGGAATTAGAATGTGCAAAGGTTCTGAAATGGGAAAGTGTTAGTGTGAGCAAGGACAAGAGTGACTGGAAGCAGAGTCAGGCAGGGCCAAATCCTGCGAAGCCTCTGGCCCATGTTAAAGAATTGGGTTAATCTAAGAGCATGAGAGGCCACAGAGAGGGTTTAAGCAAGCGTGAAACAAGATCAGATCGTGTTTTTTAAAAAATCACTTTACTTGCAGTGTTGACGTGAGAGGAGCATAAGAACAGGTGCATGGAGATCAGCTAGGAGGTTTTTGAGACAATTCAGAGAAGAGAGGATAATGGTTTGTAATAGGTGCTGGCAGTAAGAATGGAAAGAAATGAGGCTGTAGCATACTTCAAAAAGGCCAACAATTTCTGTGATTTGTATGTCTGATTTTTTTTTTTTGTGGGAGCATGGGGTGGGAAAGATTCAATTGGTATCCAAAAAATATATATATATATGGACTAAAGAAAATTATCGCTGCAGACTGGAGCCAGCTTTTGATTTTCCAGTGTTAATTGTGACTTGTTTGGAAAATGAAATTCCCATAATTTGGATTTTTCTTTAATCAAGATACACTGCTATATTAGGGCAAAAATGAGCCCAGTGTTTCAATAATAAATCATCTCCTTCAAATTTATTTACTTATTTCTCTAGATATTATTGCAGTGATTTTAGTTAGCTTCATGTTCATAAATGTAAATTGTGAATTTTATATATTAAATTATATTAAATTTTTTTTACGAGCATCCTAACAACAAGCAGTCACTTAAGGAAGACTTTAGTGATAAAGTATTTTGAATTTGTCTGGTGGTATTAAGTGCACGTTTACAAAATAAGAGACAATTATGGTGTGCTAGAAGATGCATTGCCCTAAAAATAAGAAGGCTTGGTTGAATCACAGCTCTCTTAACTTACTAACTGTGTGACATTGGACAAGCTATCCAAATACATTTCATCTGTGAAAATGAAGAAAGAGGATCTCTCTAGCTACCTTACAGGAGCACATGAATGTTAAATAAGATTCATAACAAATATTAATTGACCTCCTATCATGTACTAGGAGGTCAGTACATGAGGCCAGACAGAAGGAATACAGTGGTACACAAGACAGCCAGAGTAATAATTTTCAAGGAGATTCTCATTGCAGAAAGGGAGATGCATATTACAAATTTCTGTAGACATGTAAAATAGTGTTATCATCAAATAGTAGGGAGTATTGTACTTTAATCTTATTAGAGAATAACTTTCAAAAATATAAAATTACTACTTTCTCTTAAATATGAAATGAACATATGTCAAAGATTTTTTAACTTTTATTTTAAGTTTGGGGATGTATGTGCAGGTTTGTTACATAGGTAAACTTGTGTCACGGGAGGTTTGTTGTACAGATTATTCCATCACCCAGGTATTAAGCCTAGTACCCATTAGTTATTTTTCTTGATCCTCTCCCTCCTCCCACCTTTCACCTTCTGATAGGTCCCAGTGTATGTTATTCCCCTCTATGTGTCCATGTACTCTCATCATTTAGCTCCCACTTATAAGTGAGAACACGTGGTATTTGGTTTTCTATTCCTGCATTAGTTTGCTAAGGATAATGGCCCCCAGCTCCACCTATGTCCCAGCAAAATATATGATATAGTTATTTTTAATGGCTGGATAGTATTTCATGGTGTATATCTACCACATTTTCTTTATCCAGTCTAACATTGATGGGCATTTGGGCTGATTCCATGTCTTGCTATTGTGAATAATGCTACAATGAACATTCACGTGCATGTATCTTTATAACAGAATGATTTATATTCCTTTGGGTATATACGCAGTAACGGGATTGCTGGGTTGAATAGTATTTCTGTCTTTAAGTCTTTGTGGAATCACCACACTGTCTTCCACAATGGTTGAACTAATTTGCACTTCCACTAACAGTGTATAAGCATTCCGTTTTCTCCACAACCTCACCAGCATCTGCTATTTTTTGACTTTTTAGTAATAGCCATTCTGACTGGCATGAGATGGTATCTTATTGTGGTTCTGATTTGCATTTCTCTAATGATCAGTGATGTTGAGCTTTATTTCATATGATTGTTGGCCGCATGTATGTCTTCCTTTGAAAAGTGTCTGTTCATGTCCTTTGCCCACTTTTTAATGGAGTTGTTTTTTTCTTGTACATTTGTTTAAGTTCCTTACAGATGCTGGATATTAGACCTTTGTCAAATGCATAGTTTGCAAAAATTTTCTCCCATTCTGTAGGTTGTCTGTTTACTCTGTTGATAGTTTCTTTTGCTGTGCGGAAGCTCTTTAGTTTAAATAGATTCAATTTGTCAGTTTTTGCTTGCAATTGCTTTTGGCATCATTGTCATGAAATCTTTGACTGTGCCTATGTTCTAAATGGTATTGCCTAGGTTTTCTTCCAGGGTTTTTATCGTTTTGGGTTTTACATGTAAGTCTTTAATCCATTTTCGGTTAATTTTTGTATATGGTGTAAGGAAGGGGTCGAGTTTCAATTTCTGCATATGGCTAGCCAGTTATCCCAACACCATTTGTTGAATAGGGAATCCTTTCCCCATTGCTTGTTTTTGTCAGGTCTGTCAAAGTTCAGGTAGTTGTAGGTATGCAGTCTTATTTGTGGGTTCTCTATTCTGTTCCATTGGTATATGGGTCTGGTTTTGTACCAGTACCATGCTGTTTTGGTTACATGTCAAAGATTTTATTCAACTCATTCATTAGTGAGGGAACCACTAAGATGTTAAAACCATTCCAAAGAAATTTTGAGAAGTAGAATATTATATTTATGGGCAATATTAGAATGATTGCTAGTTTAGATATCAAACCTATCAGTGTCCAACAGGGCCATAGACCATAACTCACTGGGATTATCTGTTCTACCAGACAAAAATCATTTTTATCTCTACAGACAAAAATCTATAAGCTGGTCACTGGCCCTACAGAGTTGTAAAATAACCTAGTTAATAGAAAGTTAGGCCCCAATGAGGATTGAAAGAACACTCTAACTAACCTTATTTGCCTGTTTTCAGTTTCAAATTATTTCTCTCACAATCTCAAGTTCTCTTTGTTTTATTCCTCCAAAAGGTCATGTGAATATTAAAATATTTTGGAATAGGCTGGGCGCAGTGGCTCATGCCTGTAATCCCAGCACTTTGCGAGGCTGAGGTGGGTGGATCACGAGGTCAGGAGATCGAGACCATCCTGGCTAACATGGTGAAACCCCATCTCTACCAAAAATACAAAAAAAAAATTAGCTGGGCGTGGTGGCGAGTGCCTGTAGTCCCAGGTACTTGGGAGGCTGAGGCAGGAGAATGGCGTGAACCCGGGAGGCGGAGCTTGCAGTGAGCAGAGATCACGCCACTGCACTCCAGCCTGGGTGACAGAGTGAGACTCCATCTCAAAAAAAAAAAAAAAAATTGGAATATTAAGATACATTTACAATAATTTTTATCTTAAAATATCACTAGGATTGTGGTGGACATTCCAGTGAGCAAAAGTGAATAAACTGGGGGAAAGGATAGTAAATGAAATGCAAAATGGGGACCTGGGAGAAATATAATTAAAAACTCAAGTAACCCAAGAATATTCAGAGTTTCCCAAGTTTCAGAGCATCTCAGTAGATTACTACTTTATAATAAGGCCTTCCCAAAGCTCCACTGGAGCCTGCCACCAAAATTACCTAGCACATTTCCAACATTTCAACAAGTAATAATAGTAATATTCCCAGATGTCAGTGAAGTTATTCTATTCTTTAAGACTTAAAATAATGTTGGGAGAGTGACATCAGTAAGATGGTGGAACAGGAGTTCCCTAGCTTCTCTCCCTGCCCCAGAAATTCAACTAGCAATTACCCACAGGCAAGAATATCAATGTGAAAATTCCAGAACTTGGGAGTGAGGCTGAGACATCGCCTTAGACCACAGAATTGAGAAAAGCTGCAACCAAACAGTTAGAGGACTGATTCTGTTTTGACTACACTGCCCCTCCCCCAGACTGGCACCATGCCACATGCAGAGAGTTCCTCTGGGCCCATGGTTTCTGCAGTGGGAGGGGTGAATTAGAAGCAGTCATTGGGCTTCCCCATCATTCTAGGACCCTTTGTAGGAGGTTCACTCCTGTCTTGTCCTAAAACATTGAGAATGCTGGCAGGGCTAGACCAGTTGGAGACAAAAAATGGAGGTGGGGCTCACAGCGACCAGCAGAGGGATCCTGATGGTTGCTCTGCATTCCAGCCAATTAAGTGACACCAGAGAAACTAGCCAACAACATCACACCACAGGAAATATGGTACAGATTTCCAAAAACTGTACTACACAACCGGAGGAGACAACCTGGAACTCTCTCCAATCAGAAACAATCAAAGAGCCTAGCCAGAAGCCCCTCTTAATGACAGAGTCTAGCCAGTGGTCTCACCAAACCACAGAGCACAGCCAGTAATGCCATTTGACCTTAGAACAAAGGAAGTGATCCAGTCCAACTAGGGAGCCTGACAACAAGGTCTACCCATCTGGGGTTGCAACCAGATAGCCCATCCAGAATCCCCAGCCCTAAATAGTAAAAGTCTGTCACCATCAAAGAACACCTGCAAAGGCTAGAAGAGGTGACCATCTGCTCAAATGCACAAGCAGCAATGTAAGGACACAAGGATTATAAAAAGTCAGAAAATATAATATCACCAAAAGAAACTAATAAATCTCCAGTAATAGGCCCAGAAGAAAAGGAGATATATAAAATGACTGACAGAGAATTCAGAATAGAGTAATGTTGGCTTGAGTCCCTTCCTTCCCTCCCTCCTTCCCTCTCTCCCTCCCTTCCTCCCTTCCTTCCTTCCTTCTTTCTTTCCTTCTTTCCTTCTTTTCTTTCTGTTACCCAGGCTTAAGTGCAGTGGTGTGATCACAGTTCACTGCAGCCTCAAATTCCTAGGTTTAAAGGATCCTCCTGCCTCAGTCTCTCAAGTAGCTAGGACTACAGGCACATGTCACCACTCCTGGCTATTTTTATTTTTGGTAGAGACAGAGTCATCTTATGTTGCCCAGACTGGTCTCAAACTCCTGTCCTCAAGTGATCCTCCCACTTCGGCCTCCCAAAGTCCTGGGATTACAGGTATGAGCCACCACACCTAGCCTGATACTTTGCCCATATTCTGTGGGAAGTTCAATGTCCTTTCCTCCTCCTAAGATATCTATGAATTCTGGATGGCTTATGTTCCAGGGCTACCTCTAGCTCTAATTCCTTCCCTCATTGATGTATTATTCTCAAACACATATCGTCTTCACCTCTTCATTGTACTTATTAGTACCGAGTGTAGTAGACTTTACTAAAGTAAGGTGAGATAAGGGAATGTGTTCACATCCTAGCAGTTGATAACAGGATGTTAAAACAAGGCTCTTTCTGTCTGTGTTTTGTTTGAGGTCACAATGGCTGGCTAAGAACAAAGTAATAGTCTCAAGTATCTCTACATCCTTAAGCAGAGTGTTGGAATAGACTGTGCAGGTCTTAAAAAGACCTGTTGTTTTTTTTTTAAAACAACAACAACAACAGTTTGCTGATTCTTAGCCCATCACCCACCCTGAAGGCATAAGAAGGTTGAAGCTGGAGGGGCTAAGAGAGAACCTCTTTGGAGAAAATTGGTTATGCAATGCAGCTTTTTTTCCCTTACTTCACAAGGAGCGGGGTTGGGTTTTTTCTCCCTACTGAGAGAGGGAGCCTTAAGAGAACCATTCAGGCAATTTGACCTGTGATTCTTGAAGTTCTGTAGCACAGAATTTAATGCCAGGCCCAGGCCTAAAAAAAGAAAAAAACACACACATAGGCAAGAGCCTGCTTGAAAGAATCTATGGCAATAAATGGAAACTGTGTTGGGAGCAAGCTGCACCTCTATGAGTAGTGGGGTGCTGGGTGGATGAGAGTATCTCAGGGACCAGATCCAGACATGGTCACAAGGGAGGGAGTCAGCTTGGAGTCATCCTGGATTCCCTCAAAGAGGATTTCCCAGAAGGGCAATAGAAAGATCCTCCATATACACAGCGGTTGAGGGGAAGCTTCACTCACATCAGGCGGGATGCAGTCAGAGGCTGCAAAGGAGAATGTCTCAGGGACATCATGAAAGCACCCCTTGGGGACAGAATCAGCACTGGGACTCTGCTCTGCTCAAAGGGCACCGGCACCTGACTGTGTCTGTGCCAGCCAGGGAGCACATTTCCTGTCTATTCTTCTCTCTGCACTCCCTCTCCACTTTCCCCCTCTTATTTCCAGCCCTAAGAGGGCAAGAGACAGCCCAGTGAGGGGGTAAGAAATAGAAGACCAAGGTGGGGAAACAACAGGAAAGAAGCTGACCCGCCATGGGTCTCCAAGTTTGAGGCAGGCCAGAGATGGTGGGTGAGGGAGAGAAACAGAGAGCTTTAACTTTGAATGCAGTAAAGTTTCAACAGTTGCATTTCAACTGTTCATTTTATTTACTGAGAGGAGAATGTCTTTGTGATTGGAAGCATCGGGACTTTTTGTTATCTGTGAGTTCCTAGAAAGGTTAAGGGACTTGCCTAGACTTGCATCCAGGGACAGAGAAGGAATGGGCCCTCACAGCAGCAAGCGCCTTGATCCTATATGTTTGGGAGGGGGTGAAGGGAGGCTGGGTGTGGTTTCAAACACCACCTTCCCTTCCATCTTCTGGGTGCTGAGGCTTTTGGTTTGGGCGAGGGAGGAGGGGAAAGGAAAGAGAAGATGTCTCTTTATTTAACTGGGTAAGGTTGTAGCCTCCGGGGTGGCTCACGGAAAGTCAAACTCATCTTCTGCAGTTTTGATAGGACAGTGGTGGCTTCAACATGACAGGTTGATTAGGGACTTGTGTCCAGGAAGCTCCTTTGGCCATTAGAGGTCCCTTGAAAAGTTTGGCAGCAAGTTTCAACTGAACCCCAGCTAGTGGACTTCTCACAATGTTCCTCTGATATGGATGCCTCATTGTCCTCTACATGAGGGCAGTCAGGGACCTCCACATATGAGGAGGCTGGGGAGACTGTCTCTTTTTCTCATTCAGATTACACAGCCTGAGCAGTGATAAAGAAATGAAATGCTGGCTCTTCTCCTTGCAGGCATCTCCTTTCTTTGTGAATACTTAGAGAAGGAAAACACATAACCTCAAGAGAGTCTAAGAGCAGGAAGAACCCCCTTAGCCTTATGGGAAGGGAATAGCCTGTCTCCACAAATGCAGCACTACCACAAGGCTGATCCTCTCTCAAGCTTCAGGTCTTTTCTTCCTATGGAGTTTGGGTATGGGTGGTGGATCTGGCAGATGATTCCGGAATTAGCACTCTCAGTAAGTCCGTGTTGTTGTGGCTGGGCCTGAACATCCAAAGTGGAGCACCAAGTGCCTTTTGCTCTCTCCATTCAGGGTCTTGGCAGCAGTCCTGGGGCAACAGGAAAATCCCCAGTTGACACACCTGTTACAGGACAGCTGTGGAAAGCCTGCCTTAATAGTCATGTCTATCTCACTCTCTGCCACTGGTACTTATAGCTCTTCATCCATCAAACTATCCAAACAATTTAAAAGTTCATTTATATTTCTTGTCAGTAGCCACTCTCGAGTTAACATGCACCATACATATATTATTTACCAGGTGAGATAGAGCTACTGAGAAATAGGCCCAGGATATAATAAAAAGGAGACATGTTGGAGAGAATCCTCCTCTGGACAGTCCTTTTTATAAAGGTCAGTGGACTATCTTGTACACCCTCCCTTTGCAGGCGGGAACTGATTGTTTTGAGGGCAGCAGTTTTCATGTTTGTGTGTAAGCAACTCAAACAATAATGATTCCTCGGATTAGTTTAAATGTGCCTATTCCTCCTCTGTGACTAATTAAGACTGAATTCCGTGCATACAAGAAGCTGTTTGGCATTTGCTGGTATCTGTGAGACCTGCTGTGTTTGATTAGCCACTATTAGTTCATAGCTGTTGGACACACCAACCGACTTCCAAGATTGCCTCAATTATCAAGACACCTTGTCACCTTTCTGGTGAAGTTTTAACATCTTCACATAATCCCAATAGAGAGTGTGTGTTTTAAACTTGGTCTTATCTGGAAGACTAGTAAAAACATTGGGCACTTCCTCCTTAGGTGGTTAATGAAGTCCCCGGCAATTACAATAGAACAAATTACTTACAAATGGTTCCTATTTTTGTCAGTGCTAAAAATACTTTTTCATTTATATTTTCTTCCAGACTAATGTCCCTTTCCAAGGTGGAGAATTGAAAAAGAAAGGATCTGAATACCAACCTTATTAGACTAACAATGCAACATTTAGGAGGATAAATTAAAAATGCATCTATGAATTATAAATAATGTATAACCTCGCCATATAATATGGTGCATCCACAAAAATGCTGCTTTTTTTTTTTCTTAGGGGGTAACTTTTTTTACTTGTGGATTTGTATTAAAGTCCCAAGTCCTGGCGGTTGGGATCGATGGGTAGAGCTTTTAATTGGAGCTCTCTGGTGATTATCTAGATTGGCACCTGCTGTCAATCAGCTTCTAAAGAAATTACTGAGCCAATGATTAGGCTGATCCTGGAGATGTTAGGCCCCTTGGGGGCAATGTTAAGGCTCCCAACCACAGGGGAACCCTTAAGAACAGTGGAGCTATAATTTTCCAAGTTGCCGGCTTACCTGGCAACATACATGCTCAACTTTCTGGCTGAGTGAACTCAGAAGGATGATATCCCAGCATACATTGGGTCCACATGATTTTATAAGCAAAACAATGCTGCAAGTCCCCTAACAGCTTCCATTAGAGTAAAATGACAATACCCCATGTATGTGTGTGGAGCCCTTCACAGTTGTACATTATATAATTGAATCCCATTAATAAAATAACAATGTTGTGCTGGTCATTTCTGGAGAAAATATACCAAGTTCACAAAAATTTCCCCCCCTTGGTGTACATCATACTTTTTTAGAAACACTTTTTATAGAAATATTTTTTAGACTAACATTTTATAATTACTTAATCTTTTTAATTCAGGACCCACTAACTTAATTCAAGTAGGATTGGGCTAAATTTATTTTTTCCTCATCCTTGAATTGTGGCAAATAATGATAAAAAGTGTTCTATTGGTTAAAAAAATTGCTGCCATTTTCTTATAAAGTTAAATGTATGCCTAACATGTGACCTAACAATTCCACTCAGGTTTTTCCCCAGGGGAATGGAAATATGTGGAAATACACCCAAAGAAGTGTATGCAAACATTCATAGCAGCTTTATTTTTAATAGCTAAAAACTAGAAGTAATCCAAACATCCATCAGTAGGTGAGTGGATAAACAAACTGTGATATAGCCAAACAGTGGAATATTAGTCAGCAGCAAAACGAAATGAACTGCTGATACATGGGAATGAATCTCAAAAACATAATGCTGAGTGAAAGATGGCCAGACACAACAGATTATGTGCTGTATGGTTCTACTTCTGTGATGTTCTAGAACATGCAAAATTAATCTATAGTGACAGAAAGCAGATCGTTGGTTGCCTGGGGATGGAGGTGGGGTTATTGACTGGGCAAGACATTTTGAATATTTTGAGGTGATGGAAATGTTTTGTTTGCGGATTGAGGTGATAATTATACGGGTATATACATTTGTCAAAACTCACAATCTGTACACTTAAAATTTAGGCATTTTATACTATGTAACTTATAACAACAAATTAGATTTTTTAAAAAGTGACACCCTGTTACATATATCTTTATTAATAACAAAATTTCTCTATCTCTTGTATCTCTCTGTGCTTCTCCTGTTTCTGATGTTAATTTGTTTTTTAGCAATACTATTTCCAACATCCAAATGGTATTGGAAATCCCAGCTTGAGTTTGACAGATAACTTATAAAACAAGAAAAAAAAAGATTCAATCTTTCCACTCCAGGTCTAACAGGTCCCCAGATTCCATCTATTCCAACTCCTAAATGTTTATTTTGTCTTTATACTGCTGCCTCGCTCCACCTGCACTGCTTTAATTCAGCGTTCAATTATCTGTTCACTGGTCTTCCCTCCTCTGATTTGGTTTGAACAAGAGGATCCTTCATACTATCTTCCAGGTGCCAGAAAACAAAATGGTACCCAGAAGCCTTATGGCTGAGGGAAGGGCAGGAATGTTGGAGAAGAAGCAAGGCAGAGGGTGGAATTGAATAGGGGCTTTGGGAAAGCTTGATGAAGGTCTCCTATGCTTGCTCTGGGATTCTTAGGCCCAAGATATAGTTGTGAGTAAACTGGATTGTTCTCAATGCCATTGGTATTTCTCTATGTTCATTTCTTCAGTGTGTTAGTAAAGCCTTTTAGAAAGTATTGGCCCATTTCAAGTATGTTCAAGAGAAACAGGGCCATATGTGCTGGTGGCCACAGAAATCAAAAGCAGAGAACTTCAAGGAGGACAGGAGACTTGGAAGGGTAGAACTAAAGCTCAAAGATGCAGCCCAGTCAGCTCCTAGCATCCAACCACCCTTCACAATTTTCTCCCAAGTCACTGCTTTTCTGTCTGACCCAAAGAGGATTCTACCCCGTGTGTATTAAGGGAGTGATTTTCTTTGTGTTTGTATCCTCACATTTTTCTCTGCCAGAGAGTTGGTGATAGTGAATGGTCACCTGGGAGGATAAAGGTGACAATTTTAGGCCAGCTTAGTTCTTTGTAAAAGGTCTCTAAGAGCCTTTCACCTCTCTGAAAGTGCCTTTTATCAAGACTCCAGATAGGATAGCCTCCAGTGAGAGATTTCCCATCGATTACACACTTGTCAGGGGAAGCACAGGGCCAGCTTAGAGATTTCCATCTTAAACTTTCAAAGGAAGCTGCTTGCTAAAGGTTCTGGAGCTGGAGGAGCCACTAAAAATCAAACAAGTAAGCAGAAACCAAGTTTGACTTTTGGCCCTAGGGGTTGGAGAGATGGAGATGAAAGCTGACAGGCTCCTGCGTGACAGGGCCTCTGTGGAGCCCAAGAGGGTGACTCACAAATCTGAGTGGCACTTCCTCTCCGTGAGTCATCCTGTGAGCAAAGCCTGAACACCCCTGCCCAGCCCCTCAGTGTGAACTCTCCTGGCCTGCTGACCCGGATATTTGCAGGCAGGCCCTGCTACCCTCAACACAGGACACATCCTTGAGGGGTACAGCCTCACTCTCAAAGACAACCAAGGCCTCAGCCCAGCAGATACTTGCTATGGCTAAAAAAGCAGGGGACATTTTATCATAGGGGGGCCATGGGGATGAGCTCTGTTCCTAGGTTATCTTGTAGTCCTGGATCTGCTGTTGACAAACTGAGTGAACTTGAACTTCAGTACGTCACTTAGTCTTAGTGTTTGGGGGCCAGAGTTTCCCAAACTATAAAATAAAAAGAGTACATTGTTTTGTGGAAGAGAGGATATGTACACAGCCATGATGTTAGACATTGACAATAATTTGTGGGGAGTGCAGATCAAGCGTAGGTTAATAACACAGAGAGGAAGTGATATTTGAACCGGGTCTTGAAAGAACAAAGAATTTTCCATTCAGGCAAGAGAGAAGAATATTTCATGCTAGGCAATATATTCCTAAAGCACTGAAGGCAGAAGAGGCAGGGGAGAGATAACGAAGCCAGTATGTGGGAGGAGCAGTGGATTCAAGAGCATGAGAGAGGGAGAGAAGCATAGAGGTGTTTTAGATGCAGGATCAGTAGGTGATGTCCACTGTAGGAACGCACTTCCCGCATTCTACAGAGGATGGCCTGCTGGCTCCTGGGTTGGGTGACTGGGCACCTGATGATTTAATTAAATAAAACACCCAAAGCAGAAGGGGGGTGGGAAATGATGAATCGAATTTCTGACCTATTGAAATGGAAGCATCCATGTTCAACCAACTGACGTGTCCATGAGCTGAATAAACCAGTCTCATGCCCAGAGGAGTGCTTGAAGCTAGAAACACAGATCTGGTGTCATCAGCTGACATTGCTCTAGATCGTTTCGAAGTTCTTTTTTAATTCAAAGTCAAAGGATTTGTGATTCTAAATTTTGTAAAAGGAAAAATTCAAAAATAAATCTTTTTTTCTTCTCATTCTAATGAGACACTTAGTAT